>NT_187532.1:0-205312 GCF_000001405.40 Homo sapiens
CATTATAATAAAAACCTTTAAATGCTCTGAGTGCCCAGCGTCAGCATGGTGATAACATACATACGAGGGAATATTGTGCAGCTGCAGTTAGTTCTTATTACATTTCACAGGCATCTTAAATGCTTTGTGAACACCGGTGCATAGATTTTTTTGTTTGGTATAGATGGCAATGATTAGATGGGTGAAATAATAAAAAAAATGGACATATAATTTTAAAAATATTGAGTGACAGAAAAAAATGAAAAAATGTTAAAGAACTTTTTGGTTATGATATTATCACTAAAAGGCCGTGTCTCCTTGCTCCCTTCTTTGGGGACGGTTCTGGGCTTGCCTGGCCCGTGGGTGGGAATTGTGGTGCTCCAAGTGCCTTCAGCTGCTGCTGGGGTCCCAGGAGCCCAGCCTAGGTGTTCTTCCATCCTCACCACCCCATGGCCTCCATGGAGCCCCACGGCAGCCTCAGGAAGGAGGGCAGTATCGTCAGAACACAGTCCTCATGGACCCCCCAAGAGACCCTTGGGCAGAATGCCCCATCCCACCCAGGTCCAGCTTCACTCAGCACGTAAACAGGAACACGGCTGCAGGCAGGCTCCACGCACCCCGTCCCCAGGGAAGCCGCAGCCCTCGTCCCACGTATCCCGGGCAGGCATCTGTAACTGAGGGCTGCGTGGTCGGGTGAGCAGCGAGGCACATGCTGGCTGGGCGGGGAGGGGCGGCCCTGAGTGGTCGTCTTGCTCAGTGCTAGAGGGGCTCTGAGCCGAAGGTCTGAGGGTCCTGGAGCTGCCATGGCAGATCCCCACAGTCTCGGCAGCTCAAAACAACAGGGACTCATTCTCTCCCCGCTCAGCAGGGAGGGGTCTGAAATCGAGTCCATGGGCCGTGCTCCCTCCAGAGGCTCCAGGGGAGGACCCTGCCACCTCCACCAGCTTCTGTGGCTCCAGGCGTCCCTGGGCCGCGGCCACAATGCTGCACCTCTGCCTCGGTCTCCAGGCGACCTCCTCCTCTGTCTGCGTCTAACCTCCCTCTGCCTCTGTGTAAGGACACTTGCCGTGCATGTAGGGCCAACGAGTTAATCCAGAATGACCTCCTTATCTCAAGATCTTTAACTTAAACACAGCCACAAAGACCTGCCTCCTATTTGAAGAGAGGTTCTCTGCACAGTTCCAGGGTCAGGAGGTGAACACCAGGTGGCCCAGCCTCAGCCACCCCAGTGATGATGTGTGAGGTTTCAGAACAGCTGTGCTGCCCTGTTAGGAGCTATACACGCAGAAAGGCAACTCCGCCAGCGTCAGGGGTGCCGGATGCATGCAGGATCAGAAGGCGTCGGATTTCCCAGGGAAGCTGGGGAGCAAGGATCCTGCACCAAGGGAGGCAGGAGGCCGGAGACCAGCCCAGGCCCAGTCCAGGAGGAGCCTGGCCAGGAGTCCCACCAAAGCCACTGGAGCCTCCGTGACCCAGCCCTGGAGGGTCAGCACTGTCCCTCAAACGGATTCTTCACACACAGGTCTCTCTGTCTGTGGGGGCTGCAGGGCCAGTGCCTGAGGAGCCCGGACTTCACACAGGGGTCTCTCTGTCTGTGGGGGCTGCAGAGCCGGTGCCTGGGGAGCCCGGACTGCCGGAAACCTTTGCGGTGGGAGGCTGCAGATGGGACTTCTTGGCCTGTGTTTATGTGGAGCCCAGGCTGCGGGCACCACAGCCAGGCACAGGTCAGGGGTAAGTTGTGGGTGATGTAAGGACTAGAAGCGTAAGTAATGGCCTGACCCCCATGTCCTGGCTGTGCTGTGCGGTGGGAAAGACATGGGCTCCGGCGGCTGCTGGGGATGGCCTGGCTTGCACCTGCTGGGTCCCCCCCTGGCCACCAGCCTCACCCAAGGGCAGTTGGTGACTGCCTGCCTCACTCCTGCCAACCCTCAGGGGCCTAGGAGTCCTGCGTGGTGGGTCTAGGAACCATGCTGGAGGACAGGCCTGTGCCAGGGCCACCAGGATGTCTATGGCAGGAGCCGGTGCTGGCGAACCCCACACCTTGAGCCCCAGAGCCAGGATCCTCAGCCCAGGAAAGGGACCAGAGGCGGGAAAACCACACGGCAAAGGCTGTCCCGTGAGGTCACGGCTCCGTCACCGCTGCCCACACACGGAAGGCAGCCGCGGCTGGGTGAAGCCATCTTCACAGACATGCCGTCCTTGAGGCTCTCACACATGCACACAGACGCTCCGTCCTCTCCCACCCGCCCCCCCGCCACCCCGGGCAGGCCAGGAAGTCCCATCTGGGGCCTCCCACCCCGAGGGTTGCCGTCAGTCCGTGTGCCCAGGCATCGGGGCCTGAAGCCTCCACAGACAGCGAGACCTGTGTACGAAGCAGACTCTGTCCTAGGGACAGTGCTGACCCTACAAGGCTGGGTCACTGGAGGCTCCCCGGGTCCAGTGGCTTTGGTGGGACTCCTGGCCAGGCTCCTCCTGGGCCGGGCTGGTCTCCGGCCTCCTGCCTCCCTTGGTGGAGCACCCTTGCTCCCCAGCACCTCCCAGGTTCACACAGCTCCTCCCTGGGGCTGCGCACTGACCCAGGGGCAGGAGGTGGGCCATCCTCTCGGTGGACTGAAGACCTTGTCCGAAGGGAAAGCAGGGCCGGCCCAAGGCCTGGCTGGAAGAGTGGGTCTTGGTGGCAAAGGCGGCCCGTGGGGGCAGCCCACGCGAATGCTTCCCCGGCGCCCTGAGCCCCTGACCGCGGCTGAGCCTGCGGTACTCTGGCCCCTCTCGTGGAAAGATGACCTGGGTCTACCATGCTCAGTATCACCCAAAAATTCCTACAGAAGTCTCTCGGGACAAGAAAAGGCCTTCTTCCCTCCCTCCTCCTTTCCTCTTCCTTTCTTTCATCAGGGAACAGCTTCCGGCTGCCTGCACTGTTTGGGCGCCGTCATAAGGAGCCGTGACGGCCTTCACAGAGCTCCGGGGCTCACGGGTGTGGCTGACCTGCCACAAATGGGGCGACAGAGGAGAGGGAGGGTCGGGCACCGATGGCTCAGGAGGGAAGAGATCCCTTCTGTATGGGGAGACGGGGGCTTCCTGGAGGGCACTGGAGCGAGGGGCTCACCAGAGTGAGACATCCAAGGGATCTGGGGGACCGGCCATGGGACACTGCGGTCCCACGTGGCTCCTGGATGTGCTGTGTGTTTGCTGAGCTGGAGGGGACGGGGAGCCCATGTGTGGGAGAGGGAGAGGCCATGCACGCCCTGAGTCGGGCTTTACAAAAACCTTCTGGGGGCAGCAGGAGAGGAGCCACGCAGAGGCAGAGCCAGGGAGAGGCGGTGGGGTAGTGAGGGGGATGTCGGGGTGCACGGGTTAGGAGACCCCCGAGTCCTGGGACCTGCATGCTGATAGTCAAGGTTGCAGAGGCGGCTGCTGTGGTGACCACAGGGCAGGGAGAGGCAGTGGGGTAGTGAGGGAATGTCGGGGTGCACAGCACCAGACCCTCCCAGATCTTCTGATTCAGTCCTGGGGGGACCCTACCCCAGATCTTCCAATTCAGTCCTGGTTCGGCCTGAGAATTTGCATTTTTAACATGTCCAGGGACCACAGTTTGAAAACCTCCACGGCTGACATGTAATGGGATGACATGGTCCAATAAATGAAGGAAAAATAACAGGTGGCAACCTCAGGCAGCTTCATCCCAACCAGTAAGAAAGTAAATCCTTTTGTAAACTAAGAGGAAGTATTAATATGGGCGTTTGAGCAAACATTTAAGTGTTAGAACAAAGAATTAAAAACTAGCACAGGCACCCCTGAAGCATGATAGGATGGCAACAGAAGGGCTGATTTAGTTTCCAAGAAATAACTGACAGGCAGTGTTGTGCGTGTGTCTACTACTTAGGAACCCAAAACAAACCTTCAGACCGTTTTCATGAGTACTGAGACCAAGAAAACCACTGGGCAGTGGGTGGTCTGGAAATGTAAATGTTGATGGTACTCCAGTAATGAGTCATGGAACAATGTTTCATATTGAAAATGTTTTTGTAAATGTGGGTTTCAAGGTTTCAAAGTGAACCCGTATGTGTTAGGAGAAAGGACACACCAAAGAAGTAAAATAATTGGGTCAATATAAAAAGAAAGTAGAATACTGCCCAGAGAGAAGATGTGGATAATTCCTAACACGGATCAAAGGCACCAAAAAGGTGAGCTGTGAGTAAGATATTCAGACCTGCACCATCCCCTGCATTAGACACAGACAACATCTTGGTAGGCAACTGGGTGAAAATTCAGAGACAACCCTAGGAACTATGAGGATGAAAAAAGTTAGCATTCATGGAATGAGGCACTGACGAAACTGAAAAGCTGGAATAACCCCATGAAATAACGAGAATAATTGTAGTATTCTGAACCGGGGCACAGGACACAGGACTGGAGTGGAAGGCCGCATGAGACCACCCCGGGAAAGACCCAGGGATCACACTGGCCCAAAGGTGGGCACTTCCCAACTCCGGGATTTGTGATACAGGCACTCCAGGCTCCACCATAGAACTGTGTCCAGCACGAAGGCAGTGCTGTCTTGCGGGAGGCAGGGCTGCACCACCACAGGGGCGGGAAGGGGCCCGGCAGGGAGGCGCCCAGTGTTTCCAGCTGCACCGGTCGGGGACCGCGCTGATGCAGAGCGCGGGGGCGCAGGTTAAACCTAAAGGAGGGAAGCTTTTGGGGGCGGAACAGACAACGGAGAACGCTGCACACTGCCCTTCCCACGCGAATTGTGCTTTGCCTTTTTTTTTTTTTTTTTTTTTTTTGAGACGGAGTTTTGCTCTTGTTGCCCAGGCCTGGAGTGCAATGGCCTGATCTCGGCTCACTGCAACCTCCGCCTCCCGGGTTCAAGCAATTCTCCTGCCTCAGCGTCCCGAGTAGCTGGGATTACAGGCGTGCGCCACCACGCCCGGCTAATTTTGTATTTTTAGTAGATACTGGGTTTCTCCATATTGGCCAGGTTGGTCTCGAACTCCTGACTTCAGGTGATCCACCGGCCTCGGCCTCCCAAAGTGCTGGGATTACACGCGTCAGCCACCGCACCCGGCCTGCTTGCTTTTTTTTTTTTTTTTTTTGCAGAGTCTCGCTGTCCACCGGGCTGGAGCTGCAGTGATCTCGGCTCCCTGCGGCCTCGACCTCCCGGGCTCAGGCGATCCTCCCGCCTCAGCCCACGGAGTACATGGGACCACAGGAGCCCACCACGCCCGACTACTTGCTGTAATTTTTGTAGGGATGGGGTCTAGCCCCGCTGCCCAGGCTGGTCCGCACTGCTGGGCTCAAGAGCTCCGCCCGCCTCCGCCTCACAAAGCGCAGGGATCCCAGGTGTGAGCTACCGCGCCCCGCCCAGAGTTTCCGACTGTTAGCGTGAATCATATTCACGTCAAAACTTCTTTTTATACAAGAACTAAAAGGCAAACGAAATCCCTGCTCCATCACTGCCTGTCCCGGGTCGCGGCGCGGGACATTTCCTCCAAGCGCCTTCCCGGCCCCGCGCGCAGGTGGCCTGCGCCGGAGGATCCCGGACAACGCGCATTTCCTGCGCCCCCGGAAGCGGCGGTAACGCCTGGCCCTGCCCCCGGCAGAGGCGGAAGCACAGTCGCTCTGAGGTCGCCCGTGGCCGCAGGTGCCTCAGCCCAGCCGCGCGCCTTGGCCCTTGGCCGCCTACTCCTACCGCCCCGGCCTTGGGCGGCCCTGGGCCTGCTGCGGGCGCGGCGCTGCCCGACCAGAGCTTCCTGTGGAACGTCTTCCAGAGCTGCCACCTGGCACCGCCCCGGCACCTCCCGCCTCCCCCGCAGCTGCCCCGGACCCGTGTCCCGACCCCCGCGGCCAACCCCGTTCCCTGCCGGTTGCCCCGCGGCCTCCCCCGTCACCTGCCGGGTCCCCAGCGGCCTCCCCCGTCCCCTGCCCCGACCTCCGCCGTCTCCCCCGCCCCTGCCCGGACCCCCGCGGGCGCCCCCGAACCCTACCCCGACCGACGCGGCCGCCCCCATCCCCTGCCCCGACCCCCGCGGCCGCCCCCATCCCCTTCCGGGTCCCCCGCGGTCTCCCCCGTCCGCTGCCCGGTCTCCTGGGGCCGCCCCTGCCTCCTGCCCGGTCCCTGTCCTGTGCGTCGGGCGCTTCCCAAGGTGCAGAGGGCGCCACTGCAGACCCGAGGTCGCGGCCACCGGCTCCTGGGCCAGGCCCCGTTTCTCGCCTCGAGCCGTCGGGGGAGGGTCTCCAGGGTGCTTGTTTGGGGAAAGCGGAAACAGACTGTCTGGGCCGCTGTTAAAATGTCAGCAGCCAAGGAAGAAGCAGCGACCTGGCGTCTGCTCGGGCCAGGTGACCTTTATGGCGGCGCCTTCTGTCCCTGGTCGCTTTTCCACTGAATGAATGACCGAAACTGTAGTAACTCATGGCCAGGGAATGGCTTAGTTATCTGAGGGAATCTTGTCTTGTCTGTGAAAAAGGGAAACTGGTGCAAATGGGAATTCAGACAGGTCAGGAGGGGAAGGAAGGGAAGGATTGAGGTGGGAAAAGAGAGAGAAAGATGATTGTCCTCTTAGGGGAAGAACACACTTGGACGTGGCTCCTGGGGCACTTCCTTGATTCCGCTGTACTCCTCAGCGGGACCGGAGAGGCGGAGGTTCCAGGAGGGAGCCTTCCAGAGTCGGTGCAGGGTTGACAGGAGACGTTTGTTTTGCTTTTCCTGAACTTTCGATCGCCAGCTTGTTTGGTCTTCTTGATGTTATAGGGTTGATAGAGAGGAGTGGAGTGATATCGGACACCCAGCTTCAGCAAGCTCTCTCCAAGGGTGAGTGGGCCAGTGGGACCTGGGTCTCCGGACCAAGAAGCCGCGAGCCTGCCCTGCTCACAGTGGATAACTTTCTTTCTGAAGTTGATTTTCCAAGGACAAAGGAATCATTAGGACAAATTATTACTGCTTCATGGTGGAGATGCTTCTGGTTTATTTTGTGGCTACCGCTGTTACTGCTTGGAGTGCCTCACCGAGCCAGCTAACAACGGCGTGCGTGAGCGCAGGGAAAGGCTTCTTGAGAAATGAAAACTAGGTTGTAGGTTTAGGAGGGGAATAGGAAGGTTAGCTCTGTCCAGCCGAAAGCCTTTTGGTAAGTTGGGGGTCCTTGAATTTCCTGGGTGACTGCATCTTGGTGACTTCTCTGAATAGACCTTCGAGGGCACTGGGGGGTGATTGTTGGAGGGCTTGGGGAGCTCAGGCAGCACTTGTGTGGGAACGTGGCTGTTACAGGAACTGCAGAAACTGGGACTGGGTTCCTGGGGAAAGGATTGGGGGTGTTGGAGGCGCTGGCAGGGGAGTTATGGGGAGGCGTTCTTATCAGTGTGCGAATATTGGGCGTTCAGGCAGCGGGAAATCTGGGTCCTTGGCGTGTTGTGAGCTCCCTGGAGTTACGTTCTTGCCAGTTTCAGCTCAATTGATCCCCCTCCCCTGAGCTATCATTGGATACATTTTACTTCATTGAACACCTGACTGCTGCTTTTTCTGTAATCCCTCAGGGGCAGTCATCTTTTCTGATTCTGTGTATAGTTTGCCTTTCCAGATCCGTGCCATTTAAGCTAGAAAAGGGGTCAGTTTTGAGATGTTGTGAAAATGTTGAAAGGCTCCTCGTTATTAGTGGGAAGTATCTGATGTTGCCAGAGACTGAACTGGGGCGCGGGGAGCACTACGGCTGCTAGACACTGCCTCACTGCGCTGTGGGTGGTGGGGGGGGAGGTGCTGGATTCAGTCTTACTGCCTAATGATTTGTGAGGATTTGTGTTTTCAGAGTAACATGTTTACCTTATGTTATCAGTTCCTAATATGTGACGTATGGGCCACAGATGCTGGTGTATTATTTCACATGCATTTATATAGATTGTTTTCAGGGAATTCAGAAATTCTGTTATCTCTACACTAGTGATTGTGCTTTCTTGATTTTTCTCTTTTCATTATTCTTAAATCCTCCTTTTTTTATTTGCATCTCAGTTTATTTATACTCGGGAAGTGCAAGACATGGCGACTAGAAAGAGATGTCAAGAGAACCCGGAATCCAGTAGGCTACAATTTGGCAAATCTTAGCTTAAAACTTCCTAAATGTTGACCACAGTGGATGCAAATGGCTCTGTGCATCGTCTGTTCAATATGGTCAGGTGACCACCCAGGTTCACGTGGTTTGTCACCAGGGTGATACGAGCCACACGGAGTGCCCTCCTCAGAGGCCATGTCTCAGAGACGTTTATTTTGAGTGGTTTTCCAGCGAGTGATGCAAGATTTATGATCCATTTTAACAGCTGCTTTTTATGCATTTGCTCAAATTTTTAGATTTTAAGTTTAGTTTTAGGTTTTCTGTTAATTTGCTCAACTAGGAGTGGTGGTCAAATACTGGACCTCATTAGCATGGTAGCCTGCCCTCCTTGGCAGGCTCCACTGGAGTGCCTTGGGGCCTGCCTGGATTCCAGTCCTGGCTCTACCAGTTTTGTGTCCTCGCCGTTACTGGGAGGGAGTATTGAGGAAATGCATGCGAGGTGCCTCCGTGATTCCTGGCACGGAGCAAGTGCTCAGTAATTGTCAGCTGTGAGTATTAGTAGTAGCTAATACACTACTACTATTCTTGGCTAACAAGCCAGCTCAAAGCTTTGATGGTTTTCCATTACCTGATGATGGTGATGATGGTTTCCACTTCCTGAACACTCACACCCCTGGGCTAGGCACTTAACCCAAATCCAAGGTCAGCGTTATTGTTTGGAGGTGGGGGAGACACCTCCTGCTCTGACTCGTGTGTTTGGGTTCCCGTATTTTCACCAGAGGGTGTTAGTCCTGCCCCAGTTCAGCTGGTCCTCAAAGCGTATATAGCTCTTTAACCCTCAGCAAGTGTCAGTCAGAACATAATCTTGATTTCAGCTGCTACTAAATATCTACCAGGAGCCTGCTTGAGAGAGAGAATTGCCTGACAGGTGCTGAGTCCACCATTCCTGAGATACTTTGAAATCAGTGTCTGGCTTAACCCAAGCTGTGTATGGGGACCCTCTCACCGTGGTCCCAATGGAGTCGCTTTTGTTAGGCGCCCCCCTTTACCTTGGGCTCTGAGCTTCCTCTGCCTTTCATCTCTGCAGGATGAAGCCCCACTCGCCCTTCAGGATGCAAAGCCCTCCTCTATAAAGTGCATGCGGGGCCAGATGCAGTGGCTCACGTCTGACCTCCCAACACTTTGGGAGGCCGAGGCAGGGGGATCGTTTGAGACCAGCCTGGACAACATTGTGAGACCCTGTTCCTTGAATTGCCCTGGGAGATTTCCTCAGCTTGTACTGGAGGTGTGTGGCCCCATGAAGCCCATAGTCACCGTTCACCCTGAGAGACGCTGGCTTTGGGGCTGACACACCTGCTGCGGGGCAGCCCCAGGAGATGGCCACCCTGTTTCTCCTGGAGCTGGAGCTGCGCGTCTTCTCAGAAACTGTGGTGGCTGTCCTGTTTTGTTTGCATCTTATAAACCTTTACCTGATTACATTTTCCTCTTCAATTTAGCTGCTAGAAAACTTAAAGTCAGATTGGTGGCTCACCAGTAATGAGAGTTTAGAGTAGAGGTAAACTTTATGACATAGTCTTAGACTCTTCACTTTCTCCTCAGCCAACATGATTCACATTTACTTTATTTTGCTGTACTGTGAGTGTCTTTGTGTTTCCTGAATTCCTTCTGGAATAAGGCAGGTTGTTAGTAAGCACAGGTTTCTGGTCCATCTCATAGCCTCAGGCAGTGGGCGGTGCTGTCCGTGCTCCCTTTCTGGGTTACCTGTGGTAGCTCTGAAGTTGCAGGGCTGCGATTTGAAGCCTGATTTAGTACACCGTGTTTCTGTTGTGTTCTGTGGTGGTTTGCTCCTCACATGTGAGCATTCACCCTGTGGCCCTGTGTTTTTCCACCACACCTCTGCCTGGTGGCATCCTACTGGATGTCTCAGCTGAGCCACTCTGTTCTGAAGATGCCCTTGTCCTCCACCCCTTTGCTTTGGGCTCTGAGCTTCTTCTGCCTTTCATCTCTGTAGGATGAAGCCCCACCCGCCCTTCAGGATGCCAGCCTTGGCAACATTGTGAGACCCTGTTTCTACAAAAAGTAAACGTGTAGTGGTGCACGCCTGTAGTTCCAGCTACTTGGGAGGCTGAGATGGGAAGATCACTTGAGCCTGGGAGGTTGAGGCTGCATTGAGCTGAGATCAAGCCACGGCACTCCAGCCTGGGAGACAGAGCGAAACCCCATCTCAAAAAAACAAAGAAAGTGGATGCGCGCTGCTCCTGCCATTGGATCATCGCAGCATTTTTCTTTTCTCTGATATGCGCCTTTTTCCTCATCGTGGGGGCTCATGTTTTCGTACTTTTCTCTCGCTACTAGATTGTGAGCTGCGTGAAGGAAGGTTCATAGTCGTGTTGTATGTACAGGCACACAAAATTTGTGCTTGGATAGACACATATCAATCCGCTTCCTTCTCCTCTCTGAGTTTCTTTATTTAAAAAAAAAATTAGAGATGGAGTCTCACTGTCTTGCCCAGGCTGGTCTCAAACTCCTAGGCTCAAGCGATCCTCCCGCCTCTACTAATATGAATTATTAGCCTATACTAATATGAATTCCTATACTAATATGATTGAAATTAGTTTGACTTGTATAATAATTGTTCTCCCAGATTGGGCTTCTGTTTTGATAGTAGAACTAAATTATTAGGCTATTTCAAGAAATTAATATATTACTGGTAGAAAAACTGAAGCTACAAAATGGCCTGGTTTCTCACTTCAGTTAAATTTGTGCTTCTGAGTGCTTGTATTGTAGGTGAAACCGCACTGAGAAGGTATTTGTGGCCCGTATGCTGATTGATTGATGAGACTTCTTTGCACAGGAGAGCTGCTAAAAATTATTACGGTGAACAGGTATGAAGAAGACTGTTCTCTGCCCTTCTTTTTGCAATAAAATGTTACAAACTATCTTGAGATTGATCCCTTTTCGGGTGTTTGGGTTTTTTTTAACATTCACATATTTCTTGGAATTATAAGAAATTAACTTTGTGCTTCTGAAGTGGGTTTCCCTTAATATAACACTGATGTATTTGTAAGGGGCATTTTTAAAGTTGTACTTTAAAAAATAATAATTCTTACATTCGTTTGAAGGTTTTTTGTTTGTTTGTTTGTTTGTTTTTGAGATGAAGGCTTGCCCTGTCACCCAGGCTGGAGTGCAGTGGCATTGATCTTGGCTCACTGCAACCTCTGCATCTGGAGTTCAAGCAATTCTCCTGCCTCAGCCTCCTGAGTAGCTGGGACTACAGGCACCTGCCACCACGCCCAGCTAATTTTTTGTATTTTTAATAGAGATGGGGTTTCACCGTGTTAGCCAGGATGGTCTCAATCTCCTGACCTCATGATCCACCCACCTCGGCCTCCCAAAGTGCTGGGATTACAGGCGTGAGCCGGGGGCCAACATGGTGAAACTCTATCTCTACTAAAAATACAAAATTAGCCGGGAATGGTGGTGTGCGCCTGTAATCCCAGCTACTCGGGAGGCTGAGGCATGAGAATCACTTGAACCTGGGAGGCAGAGGTTGCAGTGAGCTGAGATAGCGCCACTACAGTCCAGCCTGGGGGACAGTGAGACTCCATCTCAAAAAAAAAAAACAAAAAAAGAATAGAATAACTCTTGTTTAGGTGTTACAAAATCCAGGCCAGACCAATCTAAACTTTAATCTCATACCCAGTTCCTAGATGAGTCCCTTCTCCAGCTCAGGTTCGGCCTAAGCCTCAGGGTTCCTTGCTTGGTGGGCACCACCTGCTCCCTTCCCCGCCTTTGTTCCTCTTTTTCCTCTGCTGGCTCCTCCGGGGTTGGGTGTGTTCAGAGGCAGAGACAGGCTAAAGGTCTTTGGCTTTTAGGTTCTGTTGATGGGTGAGTTCCAGATATAGCTTTCTCTTGTAGGATATTTCATTTATTTATCTATTAAAAATATTTATTTAGAACACACCATTCATGTGCCAGACCCTGTTCCAGGAACTGGGGAGAGGGTGATAAATGAGATCAACAAAAATACCTGCCCACATTAAGCTCCTGTTCTAGGGAAGACAAAAAAGAAAGAAAATACACGTGTCCTTAGTACATTAGAAGGTTCCAAGTACTGTAGAGAAAAATAAAGTAGGTTGGACTCGGTGGCTCATGCCTGTAATCCCAGCACTTTGCGAGGCTGAGGTGGGAGGATTACTTGAGCTCAGGAATTTGAGACCAGCCTGGGCAACATGGCAAATCCTGTCTCTACCAAAATAAAAAAAAAAAAATTAGCTGGATATGGTGGCGTGCACCTGTAGTCCCAGCCACTGGGGAGGCTGAGGAGGGAGAATTGCTTCAGCCCAGGAGGTGAAGGTTGCAGTAAGCTGAGATCGTGCCATTGCACTCCAGCCTGAGTGACAGAGCCAAACCCTGTCTCAAAAACAAGGAAAGAAAGAAAATGAAAAAAAGAAAGCAGAGATGGGGCAAGCAGGGGAGAGGGCTGGTGCTGGGGTCACAGCGGAGGGGCTGGGGATGCACGGGAGGGGCTGGGGATGTGAGCTTTCCTGAGTTCCCACAGTTCTCTGCCCCTCTCCTGTCTCATGGCACAAGGGCCTCCTGGGGCTTGCGGTGGTTTTGCGCCAAGCTAATATCTTGTTCTTCCCAACAGACGGAGGCCCATTGAGGCTTCTGTGTCCTCCACGGGGACCAGCATTGGGCTAAACCTGCAGACACCATTGCAAAGGGAATTCAGGCAAACCCGCTGGTGAAAAATGATTCCAGCGTGGGGACAGAGGCTGACATTTCTCGCGTGGGTGATTTAATGTTGGGCCTCAATTTTTCACTCCCCCCGTAAGAGTATGACATAGCCACAACCTTGCCAGGGCCCGAGGGAGGGTGGATGGACTTATCCGTCCCATAGGTGTTGCTCGTGGCTGGGTGACTTGCTTCTGCCAACGAGATTTTCACAGACACGGCACAAGCAGAAGCCTGGAATGTGTGGGCACTGCCAGGCCTGCCGTCTAAGGCTCTTGATTTTCCCCATGAGATGCACGTGCCCCAGGGAACGGCGGCTCTGGCTGTGGGATGAGAGGCGTGTGGAGCAGTCATGGTTCCCATCCTTAGCCTGGAGTCAAGGCCAGACTAGATCAGCCTAAGCCCAGCCACGCCACGGGTGCAGGAGTGAAGAGCAAATGCTAACTGTCCATGGAATTGACTTTCAAAGGGGCGTGTCATGTGCCTCATCCCAGCAACAGGGAAGGCATTTCTCTATCAGTCAGTTGGTAAATGATTATTGACAAACAATGTGCTGGGAAGGTGGAGTGATTTGAGTAGATTTGGCCTCTATTCTCATGGAGCTTCCTTTCTAGAGGGGAAGGCAGATGATGGATGGATAAATATAAATGATTCTAATAGGTTGGTGCAGCAGTCATTAAAAGTAATGGCGAAAAAAAAAACAAAAGAAACGGGGAGGAGCCGTTGCTGCCGTTCATTAATAGTAATGGCAAAACCCGCGATGACTTGTGCGCCAACCTAACCCAGTAACCACGGGTGTGCAAATGTGGCAATGGGCAAGTTCCGAGTGCTAGGAGAGCATCTAGCTTCCCGGAGTCAGGAGACGGGGGTTGGCAACCTAACCAAGGTTAAGTCCAAGTGAGGGGGGTGGGCAGGGAGCGATATTTCAGTGGAGACTCCAAGGATGAATGGTATTTAGAGAGTAAACCCCGATAGGGTGTTTGTCTGGCACAGAGAAGAGCCTGTGCAAAAGCTGGTGGGGTGAGAGGACACCGTGTATTCATCCACCTGAGGGGCGACCAGCAGGCTGGAGCTCAGTGGGTTGAGAGGAGGATGCAGAGCCCGGGAAAGGCACCCTAGGCAGAGGGCACAGAAGCGCAAAGGCCTGGAGTGAGGCCTGAGCCTGTGTGGTTTGAGGAACGGACAGAGGCCTGTCCGTCAGGAAGGGAACGGCACCGGGGAGAGACCTTAGGCCACAGCAGAGGGCAGGGCAGAGGGCAGGGCCGTGCTGGGCACTGTGGGCTGTGGATGGTGCTGGCATTTAAGAGGGGAGACCATAGACCAGGGCAGAGGGCAGGGCCGTGCTGGGCACTTCGGGCTGTGGATGGGAGCTGGCATTTATGCTCAGGTGATGGGAATGTGTTAAAAGATTTTAAGGAGGGGAGTAACAGTTGGGATTAATGTGTATTCTGGGAATCTCAACAAAGTAAATTCATAGTTTGAATTTTCATAAGACTTCTGCACAGGCAGAGAGAAATAAGATCATGTCTACAGCTGTGTGATGATTTTATTGAAAAACATTACTAAGTTTTTAAACGTGATTTCAAATGGTGTGTTTCTGTTTCACCTTGGACATAAGTAGATTGCAAGGCTAATGGAAAGTAGAAAAGTTAATTCATGAACATAAAAGAGATATCAATTTGAAAACAAAACGTTTATTCATTTACTTCCGCTGCAGATTTCTTGACTGCTGAATTTCATGAGAAGGGATTGTTCAGGGAGGGACATGGGGCTGAAGACCTGGAGAGGAGGTGGTGCTACCGCTGTTCAAATCTGAGGGTGGTGGAGATGGAGCCTTGGGGAGGAGCAGGTGCTGCCTTTTAAGTCTATGAGAGTCGTTGAGCTGGAGGTCCAGGGAGGAGCCAGTGCTCCCACTGATGTCTTAGGTTGTGGAGCTGAAGACAATGAAGGAGCCAGTGTGGCTGTTCTGTGAGACTCGTGGAGCTGGAGATCCAGGTGGGAGAGGTGTTTTAGCTCGGGGAAGAGCTGATGTTCTACCTTGAGGGTCGTGCAGCTGCAGACCCGGGGAGGAGCTGATGTTCTAGATTGAGGGTCGTGCAGCTGCAGACCCGGGGAGGAGCTGATGTTCTAGATTGAGGGTCGTGCAGCTGCAGACCCGGGGAGGAGCTGATGTTCTAGATTGAGGGTCGTGCAGCTGCAGACCCGGGGAGGAGCTGATGTTCTAGATTGAGGGTCGTGCAGCTGCAGACCCGGGGAGGAGCTGATGTTCTAGATTGAGGGTCGTGCAGCTGCAGACCCGGGGAGGAGCTGATGTTCTAGATTGAGGGTCGTGCAGCTGCAGACCCGGGGAGGAGCTGATGTTCTAGATTGAGGGTCGTGCAGCTGCAGACCCGGGGAGGAGCTGATGTTCTAGATTGAGGGTCGTGCAGCTGCAGACCCGGGGAGGAGCTGATGTTCTAGATTGAGGGTCGTGCAGCTGCAGACCCGGGGAGGAGCTGATGTTCTAGATAGAGGGTCATGCAGCTGAAGACTCGGGGAGGAGCTGATGTTGTAGTTTGAGGGTCATGCAGTTGAGGACTTTGGGAGGAGCTGATGTTGTTCGTGTTGAGGGTCTTTCAGCTGGGGACTCAGGGAGGAGCTGATAATCTTGATTAAGGGTCATGGAGCTGGAGACCCAGACAGGAGCTGATGTTCTAGTTAGTGGATCTTCCAGCTACAGAGTCAGAGAGGAGCTGATGTTCTAGATTGAGGGTCATGCAGCTGAATACTCGGGGAGGAGCTGATGTTGTAGTTTGAGGGTCATGCAGTTGAGGACTTCGGGAGGAGCTGATGTTGTTCACGTTGAGGGTCTTTCAGCTGGGGACTCAGAGAGGAGCTGATAATCTTGATTGAGGGTCATGGAGCTGGAAACCTAGACAGGAGTTGATGTTCTAGTTAGTGGATCTTCCAGCTGCAGACCCAGGGAGGAGCTGATGTTCTAGTTTGAGGGTCGTGCAGCTGAAGACCCGGGGAGGAGCTGATGTTCTAGATTGAGGGTCGTGGAGCTGCAGACGCGGAGAGGAGCTGATGTTCTAGTTTGAGGGTCGTGCAGCTGGAGACCTGGAGAGGAGCTGATGTTCTAGTTTGAGGTTCTTGCAGCTGCAGACCTGGAGAGGAGCTGATGTTCTAGATTGAGGGTCGTGCAGCTGCACACTTGGAGAGGAGCTGATGTTCTAGATTGAGGGTCTTGCAGCTGCAGACCTGGAGAGGAGCTGATGTTCTAGTTTGAGGATCTTGCAGCTGCAGACCCGGAGAGGAGCTGATGTTCTACTTTGAGGGTCGTGCAGCTGGAGACCTGGAGAGGAGCTGATGTTCTAGTTTGAGGGTCATGCAGGTGAAGACTCGGGGAGGAGCTGATGTTCTAGTTTGAAGGTCTTGCAGCTGCAGACCTGGAGAGGAGCTGATGTTCTAGTTTGAAGGTCTTGCAGCTGCAGACCTGGAGAGGAGCTGATGTTCTAGATTGAGGGTCGTGCAGCTGAAGACTCGGGGAGGAGCTGATGTTCTAGATTAAGGGTCATGCAGCTGAAGACTCAGGGAGGAGCTGAGGTTCTAGTTTGAGGGTCGTGCAGCTGAAGACTTGGGAGGAGCTGAGATTCTAGTTTGAGGGTCGTGCAGCAGAAGACTCAGGGAGGAGCTGATGTTCTAGATTGAGGGCCCTACAGCTGCAGACCTGAAGAGGTGCTGATGTTCGAGATTGAGGGTCGTGCAGCTGAATACTCGGAGAGGAGCTGATGTTATAGTTTGAGGGCCCTACAGCTGAAGACCCGGAGAGTATCTGATCTTCGAGATTGAGGGTCATGCAGCTGAAGACTCCGGGAGGAGCTGAGTTGCTAATTTGAGGGTCTTGCAGCTGCTGACTTGGGGAGGAGCTGATGTTCTAGTTTGAGGGCCCTACAGTTGGAAATCTGTACAGGAGCTGATGTTCTAGTTTGAGGGTCATGCAGGTGAAAAATCGGGGAGGAGCTGATATTCTAGTTTGAGGGCCCTGCAGCTAGAGATGCAGACAGGAGCTGATGTTGTAGTTTGAGGGTCGTACAGCTGAAGATTCAGGGAGGAGCTGCTCGTGTATTTTTAGGGTCATGCAGCTGCAGACCCGGAGAGGAGCTGATGTTAAAGATTGAGGGTCATGCAGCTGAAGACTCTGGGAGGAGCTGACGTTCTAATTTGAGGTCCCTACAGGTGGACACCGAGAGAGGAGCTTATGTTCTAGATTGAGGGTCATGCAGCAGAAGACTCGGGGAAGAGCTGAGGTTGTAGTTTGAGGGTCGTGCAGCTGGAGAACCAGACAGGAGCTGATGTTGTAGATTGAGCGTCGTGCAGCTGAAGACTCAGGGAGGAGCTGATGTTGTTCGTTTTGAGGGTGTTTCAGCTGGAGACTCAGGGAGGAGCTGACGTTCTAGATTGAGGGTCTTGCAGCTGCAGACCTGTAGAGGAACTGATGTTCTAGATTGAGGGTCACGCAGCTGAAGACTTGGGGAGAAGCTGATGTTCTAACTTGAGGGTCGTGCAGCTGAGGACTCGGGGAGGAGCTGATGTTGACAGCTGTGCAGCTGGAGATCCGGCGGGGAGCTGATGTTCCGGTTTGAGGGCCGGGGAGCTGATGTTCCAGTTTGATGGCCGTGCACCTGGAGACCCAGGGAGGAACATCAAACTGGAACATCTGCTCCCCGCAGTGCCTCCAGCTGCATGGCTCCCAAACTGGAACATCGGTTCCCACCCGGGTCTCCAGCTGCACGGCCCTCAAACTGCAACATCGGCTATCCCCGAGTCTCCAGCTGCACGGCCCTCAAACTGGAACATCAGCTTCTCCCCAAGTCTTTCAGCTGAATGGCCCTCAAACTGGAACTTCAGCTCCCCACCGGGTATCCAGCTGCATGGCCCTCAAACTGGAAGTTCAGCTCCCCACCGGGTCTCCAGCTGCACGGCCCTCAGACTGGAACATCAGCTCCCCACTGGGTCTCCAGCTGCACGGCCCTCAGACTGGAACATCAGCTCCCCACCGGGTCTCCAGCTTCACGGCCCTCAAACTGGAACTTCAGCTCCCCAACGGGTCTCCAGCTTCACGGCCCTCAAACTGGAACTTCAGCTCCCCACCGGGTATCCAGCTGCATGGCCCTCAAACCGGAAGTTCGGCTCCCCCGCGGGTCTCCAGCTGCACGGCCCTCAGACTGGAACATCAGCTCCCCGCCGGGTCTCCAGCTGCACGGCCCTCAAACTGGAATAGTTTGAACTCAGCGGGGAGCTGATGTTCCAGTTTGAGGGCTGTGCAGCTGGAGACCCGGCAGGGAGCTGATGTTCCGGTTGTAGGGCTGTGCAGCCGGAGACCCAGGGGGAAGCTGATGTTCCAGTTGTAGGGCCGTGCTACTGGAGACCCAGGGGTGGAGCTGATGTTCCAGTTTGAGGGCCATGCAGTTGATGACCCGGCGGGGAGCTGATGTTCAAGTTTGAGGTCTGTGCAGCTGGAGACCCGCGGGGGAGCTGATGTTCCAGTTTGATGGCCATGCAGCTGGAGGCTCTGATGGGAGCTGATGTTGCAATTTGAGGGCCATGCAGCTGGAGACCTGGCGGGGAGGTGATGTTCCAGTTTGAGGGCCATGCAGCTGGTGACCTGGCAGGGAGCTGATGTTCCAGTTTGAGGACCGTGCTCCTGGAGACCTAGCGGGGAGCTGATGTTCCAGTTTAAGGCCATGCAGCTGTATGCCCGGGGGGAACTGATGTTGCAGTTTGAGGGCCGTGCATCGGGAGACCCGGTGGGGAGCCAGTGTTGCAGGTTGAGGGCCGTGCAGCTGGAGACCCTGTGGGGAGCTGATGTTCTTGTTTGAGAGCCGTGCAGCTGGAGACCCTGTGGGGAGCTGATGTTCCTGTTTGAGAGCTGTGCAGCTGGAGATCTGGTGGGGAGCTGATGTTCCAGTATGAGGGCCGTGCGGCTGGAGACCTGGTGGGGAGCTGATGTTCCAGTTTGAGGGCCGTGCACCTGGAGACCCGGCAGGGAGCTGATGTTCCAGTTTGAGGGCTGTGCAGCTGGATACCGGGGGTGGAGCTGATGTTCCAGTTTGAGGGCCATGCATCTGGAGACCCAGTTGGTAGCCAGTGTTGCAGGTTGAGGGCTGTGGAGTTGGAGACCCGGGTTGGGGGGAGCTGATGTTCCAGGTTGAGGGCCATGCTGCTGGAGACCCAGCGGGGAGCTGATGTTGCAGTTTGAGGCGGTGCAGCTGGACATGCAGGGGGGAAGTGATGTTGCAATTTGAGGGCTGTGCAGCTGGAGACCCTGTGGGGAGCTGATGTTCCTGTTTGAGGGTCTCGGAGCTGATGTTCCAGTTTAAGGCCATGCAGCTGGAGACCCGGTGGGGAGCTGATGTTCCAGTTTGAGGGCCATGCATCTGGAGACCCGGTGGGGAGCTGATGTTGCAGGTTGAGGGCCATTCATCTGGAGACCCAGTGGGGAGCTGATGTTGCAGGTTGAGGGCTGTGCACCTGGAGCCCCGGGGTGGAGCTGATATTCCAGTTTGAGGGCCGTGCAGCTGGCAATCTGGTGGGGAGCTGATGTTCCAGTTTGAGGGCCATGCAGCTGGAGACCGGGCAGGGAGCTCATGTTCCAGTTTGCAGGCAGTGCAGCTGGAGACCCGGCGGGGAGCTGATGTTCCAGTTTGAGGTCCGTGCAGCTGGAGATCTGGTGGGGAGCTGATGTTCCAGTTTGAGGGCCCTGCAGCTGGAGACCCGTGGGGATCTGATGTTCCAGTTTGAGGGTGGTGCTGCTGGCGACCCAGGCGGGAGCTGATGTTCTAGTTTTAGGGCCCTACAGCTGGAGACCCGGGGAGGAGCTGACATTCCCTTTCGAGGGCTGTGCAGGTGGAGACCTGGGGAGGAACTGATGTTGTTCTAATTTGAGTGTGGTGCAGCTGGAGATCCAGGGATGAGATGGCCCTGCGGTTCAAATATGAGGGTCCCGGAGCTGGACTCTACGTGAGGAACCAATGCTGCCTCTGATGTCTTAGGTTGTGGAGCTGGAAACTCGCGGAGGAGCTGGTATTGGTGTTTCTAGTTGAGGGTCGTGGTATTTCCAGGGTTTCACAGAGGCCAGATTTTATTTCAGTTACTCAGAAGAGAAAGAAAATGTCTTCTGAAAGAGGTGAACTCAGTCATTACCAATAGAAAAAGTATCCACTGTATTTATCTCTTATACAAACAGAAAAATATAACATTTTCCCCCTTAGAATATATATATATATATATATATATATATATATATATATATATATATATATATAAAACTTAAGGTTCTATTGTATGTATCCGAACAATAAAATCTGGAAACCAGCATGAAACTCTATTATTCACATGTTAAAATGTTGAAACTATGACCAAAATATGAAAACTGCTGGAGCTATCAGAAAGACACAAGACAAAAAGCTTCTTGCATATGTATAAACTAAATGTGATAATCTCAAAAAACTGTTCAAAATTATAATTACTTTCCAGTTTAAAAACTTTAATCCTAAATTAAAAAAAAAAATCTATACACAAACCACTGATTTGCCCAGACCAAAGAAAGAAAGAAAGAAAGAAAAGAAAGAAAGAAAGAAAGAAAGAAAGAAAGAAAGAAAGAAAGAAAGAAAGAAAGAAAGAAAGAAAGAAAAAGAAATCAGCGGTAAGGTAAGCAGGACCCAGAGGAGCTGATATTCACAGTTCTTACATGGACAACTCTTTCAGGAATTATCCATAAAGTACTTTATTTTACAACCTGCTTTTCTTATAAAACTAAAGGTGCACTTTTTTACATAAAAGTTTTATACAGTGTTAAAACCAGAACTGTGTGTAAAATACTGCATGTAAATGTTTCTAAATAGTCTTGTTCCAGTGGTTCATCGGTGACTTCTGTGGCTTCGTCATCATTATCCATGGATGATTCTGAAAGAATCTCTCCAGTTTTACTGGAATTGGATCCTACTAATTCTTCTGTTTCACGGCAGTCAGAAGAACCACTACTTTCAGGGCCTTCGTTTTCACTACCTTCAGAATGTAGTAAATCTTTCTCAGCTTGAGACACATCAGATTCCTCCATTTCATTATTTTCCTCAGAAGTCTCTTCATTCACAGTTGAGGCATCATCAGATTCTTTTTCTTGGTTTTTTCTTTCTGGGACCATTTCTCTTGATGTCATAAAAGACTCTAAAAATAAGCAAATGTTGTTGTACTTAAATTTTATATTCAAAATACCTCCACAGTTAAGTTTCGTGAATTCTGATGTTCTGTAGTTCAAATCACATCCCCTGAAATTCAGCAGCAACTGCATACAGGTGGGAGAAAAGCCCAGCGTCGACATTACAAGGAGTTCCATGATGTACAATTCTTTCACAAAAACAATGAATGCAAGAATTTGAGGATCTCCTTACTCCTCCCTTTTACAGATGGTCTCTCAATCCCTTCTTCTTCCTCTTCATCTTCATCTTCTTCTGAACGCGCTGCCGGGTACCATGGCTTTTTTTGTCTTTATCATGAGATGAAGGTGATGCTTCTGTTTCTTCTACCATAACTGAAGAAATTTCGCTGCAAGTCGCTTGACTGGCTATTTCTCCGACTTCGCCTTTTTTGTCAAACCTGAGTCTTTTTACCTCATGCCCCTCAGCTTCCACAGCATCTTCATCTGGATGTTTATTTCTCAAAGGGCTCACTGAGGAAACTTCTGATTCAGATGTCGAAGAGTCACTGAGTTTTCTCTTCATTTTGCTGCAAATTTGCCTCTTTGCTGTCTGTGCTCTCAGGCCACCCATTTGTTGTCATGGGGGCTGACAGAGAAACCTTTGGTCGATTACGTGGCCTGGGTGTCCCAGGCCCATTTATATTAGACCTCTCAGTATAGCTTGGTGCATTTCCAGGAAACATCACACCATTCATTCGATTTAAACTATTGGAATTGTTTTTCTCTGAAGAAGGATAAACACAGCTAACAACCATCACGTTCTTTTCTACTCCTCTGAGAAATTTGTCTGTTCCTGTATAGTTTCTCCTCGGATCTGTTAACAATTCACATAATCGCTGAATAGTAAAAGGGATACGGTTAAATCCAGTGACAGTTTTTCAGTATTCTTCCCTTTGTTTCATCACAGGGAATATATTCGACATTAGGGTTGGGAGGACCTCTTGGCGCAGGAGCTGAAGTTCTGAAATCATCCATCACTTTCTCCAGTTTGAAAATAAAATAGCCTTTAAATTGGGACCACGGAATCTGTTTCTCCAGTCTTGGCTACATGACAAAAGGAACTGATCCAGGACAGGACAGACTTTCTTTTTTGCCTCTTCTCAAAATCTTCCAGCGCCTCCTGGAGCCTGTCGACGTCCATGGCTTCCCGGAGTCCCTCACAGCCTCCGCCTCCCTCCGCGGGTCTCTTGGGGACCGGAACGCCTCCCCCCACCCCCCGACGTCCTCCCACTCCCTCGCACACCCTCCAGCACGCAGGCCAAGTGGGGTGGGGGGGAACGAAGGGAGCCGGGGAAGCGTGTGAGAGAGTGAGACCGACAGAGTGAGCACCTCCCCAAGCCGCTACCACCAGCCCTCCAACATGGCGCCTGGCACATCACCCTAAAAAGTCATTTCTTGGAGAAGCGATGGATGACAGAGATTAATCTGAGAGTTACTATTAATGGAGAAACTTAGAACTTACCATTTTTCCTGTGAGGTTTCGGTGCTGATACTTCTATTCTGTGAGTTCTGGCAATTGTGTCCGTTCACCCAGCCTGGTGATGCAGCAGGTGTCACAGAAGGACCCTGTCCCAGCTGGTCCTGCTCCACTGCTAGGATGGTGTGGCCTCTGATCTGTGACCGTGTCTTGAGGGGAGACCAGGCCCTTGATCACAAGCGTATCCATGGTGAGGTTCCGTGGATGGAAGCTCATGGATGTTCCTTCCTGATGTTCATCTGCCACCATGCTATTGAATGCATCTTGTTTATAACTGTCTTCTAAATATTGAATAGAAATAAAGCGTTTTTACAGTATGGGTAAGGTATAAAGAATATTGACACATTGGACACAGAGGACCTCCACCAAGTTTAGGGAGTAGAATCTGAAGAGACATAGCTTTGGATGCTCCCTGGAGGCCCTGCCTGAGTCCCAGTCCCTTCCCTTCTCCTACGGAGGGAATCACTTCCTGCTTTAGTCTTTATTATTTGCACACTTTCCTTCATAGTATGTTTCTTTCACCGTGTGTGTACATCCCTAAAAGATATGCCATTTAGTTTTTGAACTTTCTGTTTTCTTTTTGAGGCAGGGTCTTGCTCTGTTGCCTCGGCTGTAGTTTTGAACTTTGACGTGAGGGAATTCTCCTGCGTGGCTGCTCCTGCACTGCATGGCTCTGAGCACCTGCTCTGTGTCTATTTTTGTCCTCCATTCTCTCCCTGAGACCCACCCACACTGACATGGCTCATTTTCATTGCTGCATGGTCTCCCGTCGTCTGAGGGGAGCATGGGAAATGTCTTCATCTTCCCGTGGATGAGTGTTTGGCCAGGTTGGGGCCCTTAGGACTGTGTTTTGTTGGGAACGTTCTTGGGCATTTCTTTTGTACACAAGCGCAAGTTTCTTCTGGTCAGTAGCTTTCAAATTTTAAAATTTCATCCCAGGTAAAAATGTAATTTTCCTCATAACCCACAACACACACACTTTCATATACAAGCATAGCAGAAATATACTTCACAAGCGTTAGCAGTGCCTGGTGTTCCTGCTTCTCTCCATTCTCCCCAACGCTGGCATGGATTGGGTTGTGGGATTTTTGCCCGTCTGGTGGTTGTCACGTGATATCTCCCCCTGTTAGGCTGAGCCCCTCTTCATGTTTTCATTAGCCATTCCTCCACATTTCCTCTTCTGTGGAGGGCCGGTTCAGCTCTTTTGCCCAGTTTCTGTTAAGTTGTTTGAATTTTTGCACTTTTCCTTTATTATTCCTATTACTATGTTTTTGAGACAATATCACTCTGCCACCCAGGCTGGAGTGCAGTGGCGCGATCTCAGCTCACTGCAACCTCCATCTTCTGGGTTCAAATGATTCTCCTGCCTCAGCCTCCCAAGTGGCTGGGATTACAGGCACGCACCACCACGCCCAACTAATTTTTATATGTTTACTACAGATGGGGTTTCACCATGTTGTCCAGGCTGGTCTGAAACTCCTGACCTCAGGTGATTCTCCCACCTCAGCCTCCCAAAGTGCTGGGATTATGTGGGTGGCAAGCCACCCAGGCACCGAGGCAAGAGACAGAGGACACGAGCTGTTCCAGTATAATAAAATATAAAACAAGAATAGTTATACCAGATATAGATCTTAGATATGATTATATATGAATATCATTAATCATTAGTTTGTAGCAATTACTTTTTATTCCAATATTATGATAATCCTTGCTCTATAATCGTAGCCTAGGAAAAACCAGGCCATACAGAGATAGGAGCTGAGGGGACATAGTGAGGTGTGACCAGAAGACAAGAGTGCGAGCCTTCTGTTATGCCCGGACCGGGCCACCAGAGGGCTCCTTGGTCTAGCGGTGATGCCAGCGTCTGGGAAGATGCCTGTTACCAGGCGGATAGCAAAAGGTGTCAAGGAACAACACCCGATACTTAGCAGACCGGGAAAGGGCGGGGAGGGGGGGGGGTCTCCCTTTCCCCGGGGGAGTTTAGAGAAGACTCTGCTCCTCCACCTCTTGTGGAGGGCCTGACATCAGTCAGGCTCGCCTGCAGTTATCCGGAGGCCTAACCGTCTCCCTGTGATGCTGTGCTTCAGTGGTCACGCTCCTAGTCCGCCTTCATGTTTCATCCTGTACACCTGGCTCTGCCTTCTAGATAGCAGTAGTAAATTAGTAAAAATACTAATAGTCCCTGATATGCGGAAATAATGGCATAAGCTGTCTTTCTCTCTGTCTCCTCTCCCTCTCTGCCTCGGCTGCCAGGCAGGGAAGGGCCCCCTGTCCAGTGGACACGTGACCCACGTGACCTTACCTATCATTGCAGGTGACTCACATTCTTTACCCTGCCCCTTCTGCCTTGTATCCAATAAATAACAGCGCAGCCAGACATTCGGGGCACTACCGTTCTCCGCGCATTGGTGGTAGTGGCCCCCCGGGCCCAGCTGCCCTTTCTCTTATCTCTTTGTCTTGTGTCTTTATTTCTACACTCTCTCGTCGCCGCACACAGGGAGAGACCCACCGACCCTGTGGGGCTGGTCCCTGCAGGGTTATAGGCATGAGCCACCATGCCCGGCCTGCTTTTTTCTTTTTCAAAAGGACTCTTTCTAGATTATACCTATTCATTCCGGTGACTATATGTGGGGCAAAGATGGGTTTGAATCCACCAGGATAAACGTGCCGGATCTCCTCTCTGATGGAAGAAGAGACAGGGATAGAAGGGTGCAGAGAATCAGAGCCAAGAGGAGGCCGAGTCAGGCGGGGGTTGCAGGCTGCTGTGAGGACTTGGCTGCTTCTCTGAGTCTGGTGGGATTAGCAGGGGATTTAAACAGAGGAACCGTGGGATCTCCCTTATGCATTTCTGCCATGGTTGGCTCAGCTGAACACACCTCTTGAGCAAGACTTGGTCTTGGACACCCAGAGGCCCTTGGTTGAGGGTTTACCTCCTGGCGTGGCCACTGACACATCCACGTTTGTCTCCCACACGGCTGGGCGGCCCCGAGACCTGCTGTGCGTGCCCTTCTCATTGGTGGCATTTCTCAAGTTTGTCCCCTCTCAAGTCTGCCCCATCCGGAAAACCAAACACCTCTCTCTCCTACATGGAAACCCCCGTCAGCACCTCCTCCTGACTCACAGGGCATCCCGTCAACATCACAGTCCCAACCTTCCCACATGGAGAAGCTCATGGGACCCCCGATGGACCAGGACAGTGCCAGCACTAAGACGTGCCCTGAAACTCACAGGAAGAGCGGACCAAGAAGCCGGGAACAGCACGGGGCACTGGGAGCTGCAAACGCCCACGATACTGTGAGAGACGGAGAAAGGTATGACAGGAGGAGCAGACCAAGAAGACGGGAACAGCACGGCGCACTGGGAGCTGCAAATGCCCACGATACCGTGAGAGATGGAGAAAGGTATGGCCATGGCGGTCACAAAATGTTCCTCAACATTTATTAAAGGCCTAAATGGAGAACATAACGCTATCAAACCCTTAGCTAAAAACACAGGGGAAAATTCGTATGGCCTGGGGTTAGGCGAAAAGTTCTTAGACATGACACCAAAAGCATGATTCATAAGATTGACAAATTAAATTTAGTCATAAATTTAAAATTATAATTCTATAAAGCAATATAAAAATCCAAAGAGAATGAAACATGAACTATGGTCTAGAAATAAACATTTGTGAATCACACGTCTCACAACCTACTGGCACGCAGGATATATGAAGAACCATCAAAACTTAACCATAAGAAAGTAAAAACCCCAGTATTAAAGAGAGGGCCAATATTGGAACGGAGGCCTCATCAAAGAAGGTATAAGGAGGGCATATTGCCCGAGAAAGAGGCTCAACATCATAGAGATGCTGGAGAAATGCCAGTCAGCAGTACCTCTGCAAATCCATTAAAATGGCTAAAAACAGACAAAACCCATGGGCCAACCCAGGTTCTAGTGATGATGCAGAGGAACTGGGACCCTCATAAGCTGCAGTGGGAATGGGAGGGGTCCCGCCATGCTGGAAAGTGGTCCTGGAGTTTCTTACGAAGTTAAGCACATCCTTACCATGTCATCCAGCAACCCCACTGCTGAAATGTCCCCCAAGGGAAAACTTAAACGTGCACACACAAACCTGCACACAAGTGTTTAGGCCTCATTCCTCATTGCCAATAACTGGAAGAAAACAAAATGTCCGTCGGCAGGAGCAGGAGAAGGCGTGAACTAACGCGGATGCTTCCACACAGGGGGCACCAACCAGCAGTGGAAAGATGCACCCAAATGCCCCAGGTCTCCCAGGCTACATGCCCGTTGAAGGAAGCTAGTTTCGGTGGGCACAGGCCAAAGGATGCCAACACATGACATCTTGGAGAAGACAGTGTACCGTGTCGGGGAGCAGGGCAGTGGTTTCGAGGGGCTACGGGTGGAGGGGCGAATGGAGGAGCTCTCTGGGGCGATGGCGTGAGCACCTGCACCTCACTGTGGGCTGCTGCGGCTGAGGGGCTGGTACGGCAAACACTGGCTTCAGTACATGCAGACTGAAGGAGGAAGGCTCCCACAACTCAGAGACAGAGGGTGTCGCCTCCATGAAACAAAAACATATTTTAAAAAAAAACCTCTTAAAATTAAGAAAAAAACCACAAAAAGTATTTCATAAGCGCATTGACTTTGAGTTGACACAATCTACCTGGGAGCATGGAACTGAAACCACAGGCTTGGCAATCCCGGAGGGAGAGGGTGGAGGGTTTAGACCTCAATTGAAGGGCTCAGTACCTGGCTATAGGAAATAACATTTAAAAAGCAGCAGGGTGGAAATAATTTCTGCTGATGAGGTTGCATCTCTCCAGATAGCCGGCAGAGTAAATTAAAGCAATATAGTCTTGCTCTGTTGCCCAGGCTGGAGTGAAGTGGCGCCATCTCCGCTCACTGTAAGCTCCGCGGGAGAATCTCTTGAACCCTGGAGGCAGAGGTTGCGGTGAGCCGAGATCCCGCCATTCCACTCCAGCCTGGGCAACAAGAGCGAAACTCCGTCTCAAACCAAACAAAATTAGGTAACTAACCCAGGACTAAAACAGCGTAACTTTAAAAAAATAAGTCTAGGAGGTATGATGTTCATTCCCTGCAAGCCAATAAAGGTCACGTCTGGGGCATACATCTAAAAAAATAATCCTAAAGAGAAAGTTATGGTCACAAATATGTTCTGTATGGTGTTATTAAGAGCAAAAATGGGAAACAACCCAAATATCAGTAAAATGGGACTGAACCCTTGCAAATTTACTAAAATAAAATTGTTAAACATGATGCACAAGACGAAGATTTTAATAAAGTGAAAAGACAGGAAACATACTTACTAATGATTATTGGTTTATTTTTCATGCCACTTCATTCCACAAAAAGATTTCAGATATCTTAGAAAAAGACACACTAGAAATATTAAAATACTATCTGAACCAGAAGCAGAATCAGGGTAAGCTAGCAGAAAGGCGTATGAGCCAAAGGGATCTACCCAGCTTTCAAAGCTGACCACGGCCGTGCGCAGTGGCTCTGTCTGTAATCTCCGCACTTGGGGAGGCCGAGGAGGTAGGATCGCTTGAGGCCACAAGTTCGAGACCAGCCTGGGCAACAGAGCAAGATCCCGCCTCTACCAAAAATTTAAAAATCAGCCGGAAGCCAGACACTAGGGACATGGCTGAGGATCGCTCCCGCCCCTCGGAGGCCAGAAACCGAGGGTCACTCCCGCTCTCTAGAGGCCGGAGGCCCCGGGCCGCTCCCGCCCACCTCCGCGGACGAGCGCCGCCCCTTCGACCCCATTCCCTGAGGTCTGGACGTTCAGGCCCTCTCGGTCTGGGAGATCCCGGAGAACCACCCACGGGGCTTTAAAAAATGTTGGTGCCCAACATCTCCCCGAAATAGGGCCCGCCCTATCTCGGTCGGGGAGCGCGGGACCTCCGTGGCCACCCAGCGCCACCGTCCGCGGGTCCGCTTTGCGCAGGCGCGGCGTCCCCGCCCATTAGACCCCTGCCCGGGCGTGTCGTGGTGCGCAGGCGCGATGTCCCCCACTAGCGCCCCGCCTTGACCCGGCCGTGGTGCGCAGGCGCAGTCTGCGCAGGGACTGGCGGGACTGCGCGGCGGCGACTACAGACGTGTCGGGGGTCCGGGGCCTGTCGCGGTTGCCAAGCGCTCGGCGCTTGGCGCTGGCGCTGGCCAAGGCGGTGAGTCCCTGCCGCGGACCGGGGCAGGGCAGGCGGGGGGCGAGGCGGCGGTAGGAGCGGGACGGTCCCCAGCGGGTCCGAGCGGAGCGGGCGCCGGGTGCCCGCGCCCCCTGCCCGGGGATCGGGAAGGGGCTGGGAGAGCCCTGGGCCGGTGCGAGGGGGAGCCGCGGAGTGTACTCGGGGGCCTGGGGAGCTCGGTCCTTAGCAGGTAGGCCGCGTCCCGGTGAAGGTCGCGACCCCGCGGGCTTGCTGGGCGTCCCCTCCGCCGCTTTGGTCCGGGCCTGGGGTCCGGCGACCTCGCGGGCTGAGGTAGCCCCTCGCCTCTGCCTGGCGGGTGGACTCGGGGAGGAGTCGTGTCTGCCCAAGGTCACCGGGGTGGAGTCCTGGCTGGGCCGGGCCTCTGCCGCCCTCTGTGAGGGTTGTCCTGCGGGGCCGCCCGCAGCCCGTGGGTGGGGCCGGCGGGGCGGGTGAAACCGCCTGGGTGGGTGCGAGGAGTGGCCGGGCTCGGCCGGGTGGGTGTCCGGTGGGAAGCGCGGCGCGCCCGAGCTTGGGCTTGCAGTTCCCCTTTCCAGAGAGCGCAAATCTGTGCATGTCCACTTCGGGATCTTGGAAGTTAAGGACCTGTACTTTGGGTCCCGTTTGGTGGCCCTTGTGCCACAAAAATGTGCCGGTGTTTAAAAGCAGCTGTGCCAGTTTTTAAAAATCAGACGGAGAGCTCAGGGCACTGACCGAGCGAGGACTCCAGGACCTGTGCTTGCCTGTGCGCTGAGTACCTCGAGGGCCGGGCTCGGCTTAGTCCAGGATGATGGTCAGGGTTATACTTCCCTGAGCCCTTGCTCTCTGAGTGTCTGAATGTGCCCTCTACGATTGCATCTTCAGAATCGGCCTTCTAGGATTTCATTTAATCAAGCGAAATTGGATAGGTTTAGTTGTTTGGTTCTTTTAAATGAACTTAGCCACCCACCTCTTAATTACAAAGTAATTTTAAATTGCAGAGTAAAAATCTCAATAGAGGAACCAAGGCATTCAGCAATATTGATTTGAATTATGCCTGTGATTGTGCAATTTTCTCCTTTTTGAAATAGTTATTGAAAATCTCTTTGAATTAAATGTGAGGATTAGTCATACAGCCATCCTGTCAACATCGGAAAGCGTGTAAACCGTTCTAGCGTGTTGCTGTGGTTGGTGCTGACTGAGCAGAGACCCCCGCCGCATCTTGGGCTCTTAGGAGCTGCTGGGAGGGCGTCCACAAGCAGGAGGTGAAGCCCATGGTCAGTGGGACTTTTTAGGGGCAATGGTAGCTTGTGGTTGGAGAGAAGCTAGATAGAGCCAGTGCCTTTGTCCCCAACCCAGATGGTGCCCAGTGTTCCTTCTGCAGACTAAGGCCCCAGGCACCTCAGACCAGATGGCAAGATAGCAAAATGGAACCAAAATTTAGTCTTGGGTTTTGTAAAAGTCTTTTTATCTTGATGAAGGTAGCTTTTCCTACAGAAAGTCGTGCGTTTTTGGGTTCTTCGTTGGCTGCTTTTGTGATTGTGTAGGCTGTACATGCAGATTCGTTTCTTGCTCATGATTTATAGGTGCATTTTATTCGATGAGGACCCCTTACTTTGCTAGATTTCGGATATGAATGTCTCTGCACTTGTTACTTTTCCCCCTCCACCTCCTGATTCAGTCATCTGAAATTCTGTATTGTTAAGCAAGGTCTAAGTATTCCTTTTAGTTATATGTTCCCCATGTTTTTTCTTAGAGGAAATGTTTGATAGTTTCTCCTAAAAAATTAATAATTGGCACAAAAGACTAGTTTTGTGTCAAAAGTAGTTTTGAGTTTTATCTAAAGACTGACATTGGCTTGAAGTTGGGCTTTCCAGATTCAAAAATCTGCCCCAGATGAGATTTAGATGCAGAGGGTTAGTGTCCTTTTCCCCAGGGGGATGGCGTGATGATTTGTTCAAGATTGTGTTATAGTAGCTGCCCCTTTTAAGGCAGCTGTGTGTGTGTGTGGTGGGGAGTGGGCAGTGTGTATTCCACATCAACATCCTAGAAAGAACGAATAAACATTTAGTGATCTCACTGTTTCTACTTACATTTGGTATAATGTACTGTTTTTATTGGTGCTATTACCTATGTTAATAGGGCACTTTACAAAATTTTCAAGAACGTTTTTATTAAAATTATTTCAAAGACTTCTTTCTTAAAATATGATTTTACCATGTAAAAAATTATACTAAGGTAGAAGAATATTCGTTCTTTCTCATTTTCTGAAAAAAGAAAAAACTAAATTAGCTTATGTCAATAAAAACAGACTAGAAATTGGAGAAATGAAGAATAATTTTTTATCCCACATAATAAGTAATTTGTGAATTGCAAGTATTTCTAAATACTTGAAGACATCCCTCACATCCCCTCTTCTGATTGCTGAGTGCATAATTTCCTAAAGCTTTTTTTTTTCTTTTGTTTTTTTGGAGACATTGTCTCGCTCTGTCGCCCAGGCCGGAGTACAGTGGCACAGTCTCGGCTCACTGCAACCTCTGCCTCCTGGGTTCAAGCGATTCTCCTGCCTCAGCTTCCCAAGTAGCTGGGATTACAGGTGCCCGCCACCACGACCAGCTAATTTTTAGTAGAGAGGGGGTTTTGCCATGTTGGCCAGACTGGTCTCGAACTCCTGACTTCAGGTGATCTGCCCACCTTGGCCTCCCAAAATGCTGGGATTACAGGCATGAGCCACCACGCCCAGCCCCTAAAACTATTCTTGATGATATTTCTGAGACTATTCAGTGGTCTTCTAAAATGCCGCCAGCAGAATGGAAAACGTATCCCCTAAATGGCTGGCCAACCTTAGCATATGGGACAGTGTGACCTCTCTCACACAGAGCCACTAAAAACTAAACACTAAAACCAGTTTTCTTGAGTAAAGGTTTCTAAGATGGAAAATTTAAGCAGTGAGATATGTCAAGTTGTAGACGTTGGCCAGGAAAAAGCCAGCATCAACCAGGCAGGGGAGAGTGTGCATCCGACATCCTCCTGTGTGATGAAGGGATGACACCTCTTCCCTCTGGGCTGTCAGCCTTTACTGTTCCAGGATACAGATCTCCTGATTCAGGTGTCCAGTGCCTTTTGAACTGACCGCAAGCCCTCCTGGACGATTGGAACTGTAATGTGGAAAGGGCTCTGATGGAGCCGGTTAAAATGCTTCATTATTTGCAAAATACCACATACAGTAATACGATCTGGATGTCTTTCCCCTCCTCCACTAAGTAGCATAAGTGAAGACTTCCCAGAGGAAGTGCGTCTTTTTCATCTCGTATCTGAGTCAGTGAGTATCCTTTTTGGAAACAAGCTTCATCCTGGTTTTCTAGAGTGCCAAGTCAGGGTGGAAAGGAGGACCTGGGGGCTCAGTCCTTCCTTGCCCCTTGGGCTGCCCTTCAGGGTTAAATAGAGGGTCCCAGCTGAGCTCTCTGGATGCACAGGAGCACCTGGGTACATAAGAAGGTGAACAGTTTTCAAGGGGAAGTTTGAATTACTATCCCCCACAGCATTTGTTCCTTCAGGACACTAACCCTCTGGATCTGTGTCTTCTGTGTCTCCAGTGGCCAACAGTGTTGCAAACAGGAACCCGAGGTGTTCACTTCACTGTTGAAGGAACGAGAGGGCATCTGCTAAAGTTTCAGATTCCGTAAGTTCATGCTTTTTGTTCCATTATAAATGATTTTTTTGGCTTGGGGGTAAGGATCTATACCAGTTTGTTTTCATATGAGTCATAGACATAAGGGAAAAATTTCTCATAGGTATCCAATGCATGCTGAAATTATTTTCAGTGTAATAATACTTAATTGCAAGTACCAATATAAACATAGATGTTAACATTTTTACTTGTATCTGTTATGTATCTATAAATTAGATTTAAATTTAGGTCAAGTAAAGCAATAAATTAAAATGAACAGTATCTGCTGTGATAGATGATAAAATCCTACTGAAAAGAGGACCGTGGGGCCCTTCCGGTGTGGGTTCCTTGGTATTGAGTGTGCCTGTTCTCTCTCTGTTGGAAAACTGAAACGTGCTGAGAAGTTCTTTTCTCATAAGCTCACAATAGCGACTGAATGCTCCTTGGTACCTTCTCAGGCATAAGCATAGGCACGGCCCTGAAGTAGAGTTGTGGTCCTCAGTCTGATCCCATGGAATAGACCCTCTACCATTCATAGAATCTGATTATCAGTCCCTTCTCCAGGTGCGAATGTGCCTACTTCTCCCTGCACTGTTCAGGGCTCAGCCCCAGGACAGGATGGAGGCCCTGTGTGCCCAGCAGTTGCTCCTTTTATCTTTGTCAAGCTCTTTCACTGGCACAAGAGTCTTCATGTTTGGCATAGTGGAACCTGTGCTTGACAGGTGAATTTTTCTTTTCCAGATTTCTGCTCAGTATCCAGTAGTGGATCATGAATTTGATGCAGTGGTGGTAGGCGCTGGAGGGGCAGGCTTTGCGAGCTGCATTTGGCCTTTCCGAGGCAGAGTTTGATACAGCATGTGTTACCAAGCTGTTTCCTACCAGGTCACACACTGTTGCAGCGCAGGTAAGAGAAAGGTGCCCCACTGTGCTCCCACTCCGTGCAGGTCCCGCGCAGCCTCGCACTTTCTACCTGGGCAGCCTCCTGCCTCCTCCCTGTGCTCCAGCCACTTGGCCTCTTGCTGTGCCTTACTCAGCTCACCCATTCAGGGGTCTCTCCCTGGAGCCTCTTCCCTGGGGACTTTGAAGGGCGGGAGCCTTGTTGTCACTCTTAATTCAGACTCCAGTCACACTTGGGTTTTCTCTGACCATCTACCCTCCCCACCCACCCCTGCCACCCCAACACCTTAAGAAAAGGAGATCATCTAAAGAGGAGGATTCAGAATTTAGGTTGGGGAAGAAAAGGGCAAGGGTTTCATTTGTCCCTGGTGCTGCTGTCTTCTGGGACTCTCTGAGGGGTAAGACGGTGGTGGGCACACACAGCCAAAGGAAGTAGGGGTACAGGGGAGTGCGACTCTGAGTATGGAGTTTATTACTTGGCAGGAAGCACTTCTAATCTTTAACACATGCCCGTAAATGCCGTTGGGAAGATTTGTTAATAAAATTATGCGGAGAGATTCATGGAGTACCTTTTCTGTGCCAGATACGTTAGGTAATAAGCATATTACAGGTAGCCTTTCACTCACTGCTCCAGTCAGCCCTTCCTGGAGTTCCCTCTGTCTCCACCACACAGATGAGGAGACTGAGGCTAAGGGATGGAATCACTGGGTGAGTCTGGGAGGGGTTGTGATCTGGAATCTGTCAGGCCTGGCTGCTCCTCTGCTGAGGTCAGCCCTCACTGGGAGTCACCATGTGAGTAGCTGGCTTTCTCTGAATCCCCCAGCGGGTGGATTTGGGCCTGGAAGACAAAGCTGGGGCTCCTGTTTGTGGCTTGTAAGGAGTGGTTGGTGTTTCCAGGTTGGAATCAATGCTGCTCTGGGGAACATGGAGGAGGACAACTGGAGGTGGCATTTCTATGACACCGTGAAGGGCTCCGACTGGCTGGGGGACCAGGATGCCATCCACTACGTGACGGAGCAGGCCCCCACTGCCATGGTCGAGGTGATGGGCGGGAGGCTCTGGGTGCTCTGGTGGTCTGTTTCCAGTACAAGAGTCCTGGAAAAAATGTAAGCAGTTGAGGCAGATGTGGCAGCCGAAAGAATGGTGATTAGCAAAGCTCACAAGAGAAGTCTTTGTCCATCATGAACTATGTATTACATGTAATAAGAAAAACTTCTCTTTGATGAAGTGTTGACATTTTCATAAAATAGGTTAATTTGGGTTTGCAGATTTGTATTAAAGTTGTTTAGTGTAGATTAGCTGTGAATATCTTGACTCCTTTAGGGTAATAAGGCTTTTGTTTGTTTTTATCTTTCACAGGTAGAAAATTATGGCATGCCGTTTAGCAGAACTGAAGATGGGAAGATTTATCAGCGTGCATTTGGCGGACACAGCCTCAAGTTTGGAAAGGGCAGGCAGGCCCATCGGTGCTGCTGTGTGGCTGATCGGACCGGCCACTCAATATTGCACACCTTATATGGGAGGGTAAGGCTGCCCCCCGTCCACCTGAGACAGGACACATAGTGCTGGGGCTTGTGGTGACAGCGGGGAATGGGTTAGCGTGCCCAGTGAGTCAGCCAGAGATTGCGTAAAAAGCAACAGAGAACAGCCGTGTGGGGCACATGCAGCGACTGTGGATGTGACAGGAGCAGGCGTGTGCCTTGAGAAGCTGCCCCTAAGGCAATGTGTGAGTTGTTGCCTCTATGTTGGGAAGTTGAATTGATAATCTTATATACCAGGTTTTCACTTGGGATATGTGACACTCAGCATGTAAGAACAGAGCAAGCAGGCCAGGCACAGTGGCCCACGTCTGTAATCCCAGCACTTTAGGAGGCCAAGGCAGGAGGATCACTTGAGACCAGAAGTTTGAGACCAGTCTGGAGAACATAGTGAGACCCTGTCTCTACAGAAAGTTTAAAAAGTAGCTGAGCATGGTGGTACATGCTTGTAATCCCAGTTACTCAGGAGGCTGAGGCAGGAGGATCACTTGAGACAGTGAGCCATGTTCATACCACTGCACTCCAGCCTGAGCAACAGGAGACCTGTCTCAAAAAAAGACAAAGAACAAGTATTTTAAGGCTCTTTTACCACCTCTGAGTTCCTGAATGGATTGGTTTGGTTTGTTTGTTTTGTTTTGCTTTGTTTTTGAGACGGAGTCTCACTCTCACCCAGGCTGGAGTGCAGTGGCGCGATCTCTGCTCACTGCAACCTCTGCCTCCCGGGTTCAAGCGATTCTCCTGCCTCAGCCTCCAGAGTAGCTGGGACTACAGGTGCACGCCGCCACGCCTTGCTGATGTTTTGTATTTTAGTAGAGACAGGGTTTCCCATGTTGCCCAGGCTGCTCCCGAACTCCTGAGCTCAGGCAGTCCACCTGCCTCGGCCTCCCAAAGTGCTGGGATTACAGGTGTGAGCCACCACACCCGGCCATGGATTGTTTTCATATTAACTGTTATCACTGGACAAAGACTTGAGGTGACAATAGTTACTGGGTAATCAGGGTCAACTTTGGCATGACCAAACAATATCCTGAACAGTATTGATTCAGAGTAATCCATGTTCTGAGCTTTGTTGTTTTCTGATGCATGGGGACGGATCAGTAATGTGCAGGTTGTTAGAACACCAGTGACTTCTCTGTGGCTGAGTGCATCGACAAGTGTGTGGTGGGAGGAGACGGCGGCTCCTTCCGGAGCAGGAGCTGTCATGTGGGGAGCTGGCCCAGGCTCACGAGAGCGACTTGCGCTGGCTGAGGGAACGGCAGGTCCAGGCGGGCAGCGCTGTCCGGCGCCTACCTTTCTGCGGTGCCGGAATCTGCTCGTCTGCAACCGTCCGCTTTGGTAGCTGCCAGCCACATGGGGCTGTTGCTAATGTGGCAGGTGTAGCTGAAGAGCTGAACGTTTTGACTTATTTTAATTAATTAAGTGGTTATGTGTTGCCAGTAGCTCCCATCTGGGCTGTGACCCCATGGTCTGCGGATCTCACTCTGGCACCAGACTCCGAGTGGAGCTGCATGCGGCCACCGGACAGTGTGGAGTGCCTCTTCGGGTTGTGTAGAAGTAGGAAATGTGTCACCAACATAGGAGCTGTTGCTGCTGCGTTCTCTAGCACACCTGCCTTGTTGGTACTGCTGGGCGTGGAATGCCTCTCGGGCTCTGACAGTGTCATTGACACTGTTGCTGATCTCCTTGGATTTACCTGGTCCATTTGGATCAAGTTCTTTCACCTATTCACATGAGCAGATATCACCTTAAAACCTTAAAGGTTGGCTTAACACTTCTTGCCCTTTTTTTTTCTTTCTTTTAGTCTCTGCGATATGATACCAGCTGTTTTGTGGAGTATTTTGCCTTGGATCTCCTGATGGAGAATGGGGAGTGCCGTGGTGTCTTCGCACTGTGCATACAGGACGGGTCCATCCATCGCATAAGAGCAAAGAATACTATTGTTGCCACAGGGTAGGAATCTAATTTCTACTTTATTTCCTTTGTAAAAATGAATAAATTTCATTTAGAGTCTCTTTATTTTAAGGAAAATAGAGGCATTGTAGAATAGCAGTTCAGACACAGGCCTTGATATAACCACGTGAGGGTGATGGCCTTTCCCAGCCATGGTTCCTCACCTGTAAAGGGTGAGGACAGCAGCACCTGCCTCGGGGTGAGAAAGCATGGCCCTCATTAGTCGGTAGTGGCTGCCGTCAGGTTCACAGCGTACCTCTCCCGATTTTAGATGAGGAAACTGTGGCCCGAAGAGTCACATGGGGTTTTCTGGCAAAATCCCTCTTGTTTTAGTGGGTTCTATGTTTATACTGATTCCTGGGATAGATAAGTCTGTCTTCTCCACATAATGAAAATAAAAAACTTTAATTTTATACAGTGGCAGTTACTTTAGCCACTTTAAAAGTTAAGAAGTGTCAGTACAGCCAAGAAAAAAAATCAGCAAAACTACAGGGTGGGAAAAAATATTTTCCAAACCATATATCTAATGATATCTTAGTATCTAAAATAGCAAAAAAAAATAAAAAATAAAAAAAAGCCCTACTAAAACCAACCTACTAAACCCTACTAAAAAACAACCCTACTAAAAATGGGCAAAGGACTTGAATAGATATTTTTCCAGAGAAGACATACAAATGGCCAGTTGATGTATGAAAAAATGCTCAACATCACCAAGCACCAGAGAAATGCAAATTAAAACCCCAATGAGTATCATCTCATCTCGCTCCAGTTAGAATGGCTGTTACCAAGAGGACAAAAGATAGTGAGTGTTGATGAGGATGTGGAGAAAAGGGAACCCTGTGTGCTGTTGGTGGGAATGTAAATTAGTACAACTATTGTGGAAAACTCTGGAGGTTCCTCAAAAGTCACAGGACTACCATGTGCTCCAGCAACCTCATTTCTGGGTGTATATCCAAAGGGCATGAAATCAGAAGCTCAAAGAGACACCTGGACCCCCATGTTCATTGCAGCGTTATTCACAATACCCGAGATATGGAAACAACCTAAAAATTTTTGGTGTTTAATGACAATGTGGTGTGTGTACACAACTGAATATTATTCAGCTATGAAAACGAAGGAAATCCTGTCATGTGTGACAACGTGGATGAACCCAAAGTCATTATGTTAAGTGAAACGACCCAGGCACAGAAAGACAGATACTGCATGTCACTCATATGTGGATCTAAAACTGTCACAACTCACAGAAACAGAATAGGACAGTGGTTGCCAGGGGCTGGGGGAATGCAGACTGTGGCGATGCTGATTAAAGGTGTAACTTCCCGTCACAAGGTGAAGTTCTGAAGGTCTGATAAACAGCATGGTGGCTAGAGTTAATGTTATAGAGCATGGTGGCCAGAGTTAACATTATACAGCATGGTGGCTACAGTTAAAATCATACAGTACGGTGGCTATCATTAATATAACTTGAAATTTGCGAAGAGAGTAGACCTTAGGTGTCTGTATCTCCAAAAAAAAGGATAATTGTATGAGGTGATAGATGTGTATTAAGTTGATTGTGTCATCAGTTCACAAAATAAATCATCACGCTGTACACCTTAAATATATACAGTATTGTTTTTTGTTTAATTCATCAATCATACCTCAGTAAATCTGGGGGAAAAAAACAAAATCCATAAAAATTTTAAAATTTTCATTATAAAAGTAGTATATGCTTACTGGGGAAACCTTTTGAACAGCACAAATCTAAAATACAAATAGGGCCAGACGCATAGTGGCTCATGCCTGTAATCCCAGCACTTTGGGAGGCCGAAGTGGGTGGATCACCTGAGGTCAGGAGTTCAAGACCAGCGTGGCCAACGTGGCGAAACCCAGTCTCTACTAAAAATACAAAAATCAATTGGATGTGGTGGTGCACACCTGTATTCCCAGGTACTTGGGAGGCTGAGGCAGAAGAATCACTTGAACTTGGGAGCCAGAGGTTGCCGTGAGCCGAGATTGTGCCACCGTACTCCAGCCTGGGCGACAAGAGTTAGACCCTATCTCAAAATAAATAAATAAATAAATAAAATATAAATGGAAGTCTCTTCTCTGATCCCAGGCTTCTATCCTACCTGCGCAGGGTAGCAGCACCACTGGCGTGGCCCCCAGTGATGTGTGTGGGGTGTGCGTGAGTAGGGGGTTGTGTGCACACAGCACTGAGAAGATGGTGCCCGGGGGCTGCCCTGTCCGTTCTGTGATCTCATTAGACAGGAGGTCCGGACGTGGGCCACTGTGTGCAGTCACTGCTCTCTGTTGTTTCCATAGGCTACGGGCGCACCTACTTGAGCTGCACGTCTGCCCACACCAGCACCAGCGACGGCACGGCCATGATCACCAGGGCAGGCCTTCCTTGCCAGGACCTCGAGTTTGTTCAGTTCCACCCCACAGGTAGGGCAGGACGCCTTGCCCGGAAGGCGTTCGGCTCGTGTGTCTTGTAAGCGTGTGGTGCCTACTCATTGCTCTTCCATAGTTTTATGTAATAACATGGTTTTGAAGATCAGCTTCCATAGCTCTCAGGTCCTAACTTCAATGTCATTTCCTTAAGGAGACTTTTCCCACACTCCCCTTCCCCTAAGGCAGTTTGGGCCACCATCTTATGCATTTCTCAAGAGCCCTAAACCCTGCCTTGGTGATACTTATGCCAGCAGTAAAGCAGGGATTGAGGCCGGGCATGGTGGCTCACACCTGTAATCCCAGCACTTTGGGAGGCCAAGGCAGGTGGATCACCTGAGGTCAGGAGTTCAAGACCAGCCTGCACAACATGGTGAAACCTCATCTCTACTAAACATAAAAAAATCAGCTGGGCATGGTGGCATGCACCTGTGATCCCAGCTACTTGGGAGGCTGAGGCGGGAGGAATGCTTGAACCTGGGAGGCAGAGGTTGCAGTGAGCCGAGATCGCACCACTGCGCTCCAGCCTGGGCAACAGAGTAAGACTTCGTCTCAAAAAAAAAAAAAAAAAAAGTAAAGCAGGAATTGTTCAGTGTCCCTCTTTGCAGTGAGGTTGTCAGCAACTCGGGCAGGCAGGTCTTCTCATTAACTGGGGTGCTCCACGCCCAGCACATGGTAGGGTCTCCATCGGGGTTTACTGAGTGAGCATTCTGAGAGCTGGGTGAATGCCGTGGAACCAAGAAGCAGCACAGGCAGATTTCAGCTTTGTAGGACAACACAGAGCTTCCGTGACAATGGGATGTAAAGTTAAGACACAGCCATGAGAGAACCCCATGTGACGTTGGGCGCTGGGCTCAGCCCACGTGACCACTGAGGGAGCTTGTCGTGGGGAAGATGAGCTCGTCTTGGGGACGTCTGACGGTTGAGGTTACGAATGTGCAATTTGGAGACATTAACTCAGAAATGACAGTTGAAGTCTTGAGTTTGGAGGAGGTTCTTCAAAATGAGTCAGAGACAGACACACACACGTCTGCCTCTTGTTTGAGGTGACTCGTCCTGGACTTTTCTGGGTTGCTTTTCTGACCTGTGGACGATGGAGACCCCTGAAGTGGTGCCAAAGAACCAGACCTGTGTCTTCTCTTTCTCTGTCAGTGTCAGCTTTCTGATCCCTGGAAGGGATGAAAATAAGAAATGGATTTGTTGTAGGTTTTTTTTTTAATTTGTTTAGAGATGGGGTCTTGCTCTGTTGCCCAGGCTGGAGTGCAGTGGAGCAATCTTGACTCACTGCAGCCTTTGTCTCCCAGGCTCAAACGATCCTTGCACCTCAGCCTCCCAAATAGCTGGGACTACAGGCATGTGTTACCATGCCCAGCTAATTTTTGAGGGTTTTTTTGTTTTTGGTAGAGACAGGGTGTCACCATTTTAAGCCCAGGCTGGTCTCAAACGCCAGGGCTTAGGCGATCCTCCTGCCTCGGCCCCTCAGGGTGCTGGCATTATAGCCATGAGCCACTGCACCCGGCCTGTTGTATTTTTTATTACTGTTTTTAATCAGCAAAATGTCAGTGAGCCCCTGAATTCCCTCTGTAATTTGCTTAGAGCTCCACTTCTCATGCTTTGTCTTCAATATGTGAGAAGTAACCACAGAAAAAAGAGCATGGAAACTTAGAAAATCAAAAGGCAGGTGAGATGCAAGAATCACATTCTTGTCTTGAAAGCAAGATTGCCCTTTTTGTATACTAATAAAAATTGTAGCTTTTGAAATACATTTAGTTTAGGGTTTTTGATCTCCTTTGTTAAAATTCGAGAGCTTGGCACGCCCTGTTTCTCATCGCACTGAGGAGTCACAGAGCCGCTGTTTGGGGCACAGACCGCCGGACTGCCCAGGTTTGGGTTTGAGCTCTGTCCTCAGCTGCATGACTGGATGTTACCAAGCGTTAATTTGCTTGTCACTGAGAAAGGGGGTCATACTACCCAGAGTTGTTGTAAGACTTAAATGAGTTTAATATGTGGAAAGCAGCTAGAACTGCCCATAGCAAGTGCAGTGTAAAGATGAACTAAAATAATCATTATTACTGTTCTTGCCACTGTTTGGGTAACTTAGATATGAATTCTCCAAGCTAGTATTCTTAACTAGTCACCACAGTATCATAGTGCAAAAGAATGTTCAAAAATTAAAACAAAATTTGAGGCATCCAACGTACACCGGGCTGTAATCAGAGTATTGGCCAGAGGTCTGTGGGCCGGCCTTTCTCCTCTCTGGGGACGCCACTCTGCCCCAGCCTCTGCTGCAGCTGTCAGCCTTGTCAGTGCTTTTTGTTATCCAGACTTTCTACTGTATCTTAACTGTTCTTTCTGTTCAGTTTTGCATATAATGCCTTCTGCATATCTTTTTTGTCTCTCCCCCAAAAAATATCTTGTAAAAAAAAGTAATGCATTTGAAATAGAGACCTAGCAATTGTTAGGTTATAAATGTGTGGTTTTTTGCAGGCACATATGGTGCTGGTTGTCTCATTACGGAAGGATGTCGTGGAGAGGGAGGCATTCTCATTAACAGTCAAGGCGAAAGGTTTATGGAGCGATACGCCCCCATCGCGAAGGACCTGGCGTCTAGAGATGTGGTGTCTCGGTGGATGACTCTGGAGATCCGCGAAGGAAGGTGCGTGTGGTTTACCACCAGCACTGTCTGAGCGGGCACACGGGCCGGGGTTGCTTCTGTGAGTTTCAGCACCGCTCGCCCTCACCTTCGTGTGCAGGCACATGTGCACAGCCACCTCTCTCAGCTGCCGGCAGGCGTCTGTTAGTCTGCGATATTTTCCTAAAGACCTACATTTTGAAAATTTTAGCCAGTTTCTTTCTCAAATCTGTGGAACAGAGTTTCTCTTAGTGTGTGTGAGTATGTGACGGAGTATGGGAGAGAGAGACACGCACCCAACCTGAAGTCGGCGTGTGAGCCTTGGGTGTGGTGTCTGATACCCACAGATGTTTTTCGGCAGCTTTCAAAGTGTGTGGGTCATTTGCCTTTCAGAAGAACAGTTTGCAGCTCTTTCATTGCCTGACCCTGTTCTTTAATGTGATAACACTTGCTAAATATCTGCTGGTATCTGGTGTGGCCTTTAGAGGTTTTACATTTTTATATTAAAAAAAAAAGAAGTCGGATGGTTTCTTGTAATATGGTGGCCCTCCGTATCCATCGGTTCCACATGTGTGGTTTCAACCAACTATGTACTGAAAATAAAATTGCATCCTTACAAACACGCAGACTTTTTTTTTTCCTTGTCATTGTTCGCTAAGCAACACAGTGTAGCAGCTATTTACCTAGCATTTACATTGTATTAGGTACTATGAGTAATCCTGGAGTTGCTGTACAACTTAAATGTAAAACTTGAAATGAGGATGATTTAAAATATGGAGGAGGATGTGCATAGGTTATATGCAAATACTCTGCCATTTTATATTAGGGACTTGAGCATCCACGGATTTTGGTGTCCGTGGGGGTCCTGGACCCAACCTGCCACGGATACGCAGGGACGACTATTTGGCATAGAGGCCTAATGCTTTTACCAAGGACAGCCGCTGCAGGCTGTGATCCCTGAGACGAGTGTGAGTTCAGTAAGGGCAGAGTTTTTGTTCTGGTTCTCAGCTGTGTCCCAGCACCTGGGATTGTCCCTGGCATACAGTAGATGCTTAGAAAAGATTTGATGAGAGGGTGGCCGTACATGAGGGGAAATTTTCCTCAGTATCAAAACATGTTGAAACTCACACGCTTCCAAGATGACGTATTCTCAGGTCTGCTGCCGTTGCCATTCTCTGCCTTATGTGATGGTGTTCTGTCTTACCAGAGGCTGTGGCCCTGAGAAAGATCACGTCTACCTGCAGCTGCACCACCTACCTCCAGAGCAGCTGGCCATGCCCTTGCCCGGCATTTCAGAGACAGCCATGATCTTCGCTGGTGTGGACGTCACGAAGGAGCCGATCCCTGTCCTCCCCACCGTGCATTATAACATGGACGGCATTCCCACCAGCTACGAGGGGCAGGTGATGGTGCTGGCTTCTCTCCCACAGCTGGAAAGAAGGCTGGGACAATGGGGCCCATCTCGCAGTTGTCTCTTTAGATCTTAGAGGAAGAGACAGATGTTTCCTTCCAGAAAGTACTGTATTGTTTGCTAAATTGCACTTGAAATTTCTATCACTGGAGGATGGAAGGAGGCTTAATAATTTATTCCTCCTTAGTAAACTGTCATAGATACATCATTTGCAGCTTTTCCCATTTTATAATTACTTTCCTATATGATCTTGTGTTATTTCTAATGAGCTTATACATCAAGGGATCTTTATAATTCCTATTTCTAATGATCTTGTACATCGAAGGATCTTTATAATTCATACCTGTGAGTGGTTTGCGGTTCACACAGAGCTTGTCAGTCACTTAGCCTCCTTGTTGGGCGAGGTGGGTGGAAGCTGTTACTTTCCCCGCATAGATGAAGAGGTGAACAGGGGGTAGAAGAGTCTGGAACATCAGTCTCCCCTGCTGATGTTCCTCCACCTGCCGTGCTCCTGGGTCTGAGCTGGAGCACAGGTGGTGAGGGCCTCGGGAACATGGGACACGGGGGACAGTCGCAGATGCTGACATTGGAGGCCCTCTGACCTGCTTGTAACAGCAGGTGCTCAGGGGCAGAGGGGAAACTGGGGTATACATTCGGAAGTTTCCTTCTGAAGAAGAGTAGCTATGGTCCTTACTTCCTTCTTAGATATGGTCTTTACTTCCCTCTCTTTGTTTCTTGGAGATGGAGACTCGCTCTGTCGCTTAGGCTGGAGTGCAATGGCGCGATCTCGGCTCACTGCAACCTCCGCCTCCCAGGTTCAAGCGATTCTTCTGCCTCAGCCTCCCGAGTAGCTGGGATTACAGGCACCTGCCATCATGCCTGGCTAATTTTTATATTTTTAGTTGAGACGGGGTTTCACCATGTTAGCCAGACAGGTCTCGAACCCCTGAACTCAGGTGATCCACCCGCCTCAGCCTCCCAAAGTGCTGGGATTACAAGCGTGAGCCACTGCATGCCCGACCTACTTCCCTCTCTTTCTCTGACCTGCAGCACAGACACCCTGTTGAGGGAGGTGGGCTTGTGGAGGAATGGGCATCTTGACATTTCACCTGAAATCTTCCTTTCCACAGGTCCTGAGGCACGGGAATGGCCAGGATCAGATTGTGCCCAGCCTGTACGCCTGTGGGGAGGCCGCCTGTGCCTCTGCACATGGTGTCAACCGCCTCGGGGCAAACTCGCTGTTGGACCTGGTTGTCTGGTCAGGCATGTGCCCTGAGCATCGCAGAGTCGTGCAGGCCTGGTAAGTGTTTTCTTCAGGACCCAGACTATTTGAGAAGGCGCAGGAGGTTAGTCTTTTTTCTTTTTTTTTGAGACAGGGTCAGCCCAGGCTGGAGTGCAGTGGCACAGTCATAGCAGCCTCAACCTCCCGAGCTCAAGCAGTCCTCAACACCTCAACCTTCAGAGTCCCAAGTAGCTGGGACTACAGATGTGCACCACCACACCTGGCTAATTTAAAAAAATTTTTTTTGGTAGAGACAGGGTCTCACAATATTGCCCAGGCTGGTCTTGAACTCCTAGACTCAAACAGTCTTCTGCCTCAGCTTTCCAAAGTATTGGGATTACAGGCATGAGCCACTGCACCCAGCCAGGTTACAAAGCCTTGATTTCTTACTGGAAATTTGCGTAGTGAGCATATAGAGGTAGTCTGGGTTTTTTCCCCTAGAAGTGATTAAACTGAGAAATCCAGAGATTATATGGTGGTAATGTTGAGACTAGATAGAGGCTGGTTGGGGATCTTAACAGTTAAGGTGACATTTTTGGGGTTACATTTTTTTTTTTTAAATTATTTTGCAGTCATTATTTTCTGTTTAGAAAAAGCACTATTAGGAAGCTGTTATTTTTAGGGGAAGTTCATTACGTATTACTTGCCTGATAAAAATCACTTATTTGCAATGAAATATTTAAAATAGTTGGCATGAATGAATATGTAACTTCTTGGTACTTAGAAAAATAATTTAGGCCATTCTAAAAGTACAACTAACCTCTATTAGAGGAGAAGGGCTGACTTAGAGTGAACAGGATTCCCACCCTCTACGGACAGATTCGATTTCACTTGCTGGTTTTCTTTTCAGGATAGCGTCAAATAATGTGCAGGAAAAGGAATACCGTGTGTGGGAGTGTGAGTCTTATGTGCACGAAGAACAGGACAGTTAGCATCGTTCCCACCTCCAGAGATCCTCACGGTGGTCATGCAGCCTCGTGTGCTCAGAACAGTGTGAGGTGGATGAGGCACTGGTGGATGTTTGCGTGGCAAGGATGGTGGGACCCCAGGCCCACGTTCTTCCCGTTAGCTTTCTCTGGTGTTAACTGTTTAGCATCATTTCTGCTGTTTTTATAGAACAGGCGCTTTTTGCTTTTTGTATGGACTCAAGTGAAATAAAAACTAGCACCGCCGTACCTTATAAACATGACCCTTTTCTATCTGTAGTTAGAAAGGTACAGGCAGTATTAAAAGGGTAGCTACTTCAGACACTGTGTCTCTGTGGATCTGACGACAGCTCAGGAGGCCAGCACATGCAGAGCCGGCGTCTCATCCCCAGCCGTTGCTGATCATCGGCGAAGGCGGAGTTCAGGTGCCTCGCTCCTGACGCCACAGGTTGTGCTTGTCTCACTCCATAGCCCTGCACTTTGTCGCAGTGAGGTCTGATACCACTTCTCTCAGAGCAGTGTAGAAATTTTGAGCTTCTCTTTCTTTGAAAATGCAGAAAAGAACATTTTGTGAGAATACCCTATACTTGACATCTGAGAAACCGCTCACACATGCAGCATCTCACGCAGAATGCTGTGGAGTCGGACTCAAAAGGCTGCACGCCTGTGGTCCTGTTGATAGGACATTCTGGACAAGGCACATCTAGGGAAGAAAAGGGATTGGTGGTTGCCAGAGGCTGTTTCCTGATTGTGCTGAGGCTTACAGACACAGCTCTGTGTGTGTCAAAGTTTGAAAAACCTACATTAAAAATGATGAGTTTATTTTACTGTATCTTTACGCTTTAATTTTTAAAAATGAAAAGGAAAGAAAAAATGCTTGTAGCATCCCTACTTCTCCCCCAACCCCCGACCCCCCCAAAAATATATATATGTGTATTTTTAGACATAGTCTCCCTCTGTCACCCAGGCTTGAGTGCAGTGGTACGATCAGGTGCACGCCACCACATCTGGCTAATTTTTAAAAATGTATTCTAGGGACAGGGTCTCCCTGTGTTGCCCAGGGTGGTCTTGAACTCCTGACCTCAAGTGATCCTCCTGTCTCAGCCTCCCAAAGTGGTTACATGCATCTATCCATGTGTTAAAATCGGTAGAACTGAGGCCGGGTGCAGTGGCTCACACCTATAATCCCACCACTTTGGGAGGCCAAGGCAGGCCGATTGCTTGAGCTCAGGAGTTCGAGACCAGCTTGGGCAAGGTGGTGAAACCCCGTCTCTACCAGAAATACAAAAATTAGCTGGGCATGGTGGCTCACACTTGGGTAGTCCCAGCTACTTGGGAGGCTGAGGTGGGAGGATTGTTGGAGCCTAGAAGGCGGAGGTTGCTGTGAGCCGAGATCACACCACTGCACTCCAGCCTGGGCAACAGAGGGAGGAGACACTGTCTCAAAAAAAAAAAAGAAAAAAGAAACTGTAGAACTGTCCACCGAAAGAAAAAAGTCAATTTTAATGGATGATCAATTTTTAAAGCGTTATAAACAAAAGGAAAAGAGACACCAGCAAGCCTAGAAGCATTTGAGCAGACCGTCAAGAGACCCACAGCCTGGTCCCGAGGAGAGGCGGTAGGCGGGACAGGGCCTGTTTGACTCCTGCATTTCATACCTCCTATCTCCTGCATGTGTTACCTATTGAAGAAAAAATACATATAATTTTATAAAAAAAAAAAACCTTTAAAACTTTTTTCAAGACATCTTGGAAACACAAGAGTTGCAAATCTTGGCCGTGCGCAGCAGCTCACACATGTGATCCCAGCACTTTGGGAGGCTGAGGCAGGTGGCTCACCTGAGGTCAGGAGTTCGAGACCAGCCTGGCCAACATGGTGAAACCCCATCTCTACTGAAAATACAAAAATTAGCCAGGTATGGTTGCAAACTCCTGTAGTCCCATCTACTCCAGAGTCTGAGGCAGGAGGATTGCTTGAACCAGGAGGTGGAGGTTGCAGTGAGCCGAGATGGTGCCACTGCACTCCAGCCTGGGCTACAGAGCAAAATTCCATCTCAAAAAAAAAAAAAAAAAATTGCAAATCTTGAAGTATAGGTGAGAGCACACAACAGTCCAAATCAGCAGGTGACTTGCAAGCACACAGCAGCCACCTTCCTCCCCCTAATGTGAAGGACAGTGGGGCGGCCGGCCCCTTGGGACCACCATCTGGAAGGTGTCATTTTTTCCCGTTAGTGGAGTGACATTTATATACACTTAATGTATATAAATCTGTATACATTTAATTTTTTTTTTTTGTAAGACAGGGTCTCGCTCTGTTGCCCAGGCTGGAGTGCAGTGGCGCGATCTCGGCTCACTGCAACCTCCACCTTTCGGGTTAAAGCAGTTCTCATGCCAGATAATTTTTGTGTTTTTAGTAGAAATGAGGTTTTGCCACGTTGGCCAGGCTGCTCTTGAACTCCTGACCTCAAGTGCTTCACCTACCTCAGCCTCCTAAAGTGCTGGGATTACAGGCGTGAGCCACTGCACCTGGCCTACATTTTAATTTTTTAATTTTAGAGATGATTTCTAGTTTATTCACTCTAAGATCACTTAATGGATATCTACTGTGTGCCAACAGTTTTGCCTTTTATGTCTGTTCTTTAAAATTGGCCCCAACTCAACAGATGGCCTCAGATGTAGGGTGGGTTGGCAGTGTGTTAGCTCAGGAGACTTACACCGTTTCCAGGCTCCTTGAGCGGCTATGCTACATTTTTGTGTGTAGTACTAAATCCATTTGTTTTTTTAAAACGGTTTTCAAAAGTTAAATTCTAGCTCTTTTTGTTGTTGTTTTAGGAGATAAAGTCCCTCCAATTAAACCAAATGCTGGGGAAGAATCTGTCACGAATCTTGACAAATTGAGATTTGCTGATGGAAGAAGCATAAGAACATCGGAACTGCGACTCAGCATGCAGAAGGTAAGAGCCTGGACTCGCTCTGGAGTGAGCAGGCTGGCTGCATACCTGGCCCTGCACTGGTTTTGTTTTTTTAAAAACAGATCTAGGGGGATGCAGGTGCAGCTTTGTGTGGATGTACTGGGAGGTGGTGGAGTCTGGGCTTTTCATGTACCTGTCACCCAAGTCGTGTGTGTTGTACTCAGCAGGTAATTGCTCATCCCCACCCCTCCCGCTTTTTGGAGCCCACAGTCTGTTAGTCCACTCCGTGTGTCCATGTGTACTCACCGTTCAGCTCCCACTTCCAAGGGAGAATGTGTGACACTTGACCTTCTGACTCACTTAGGATAGTGACCTCCCATTCCATCCGTCTGGCTGCAGAAGACATGATTGCATTCTTTTTTTATGGCCAAGTAGTATTTCATGGTATATATGTACCACATTTTCTTTATCCGGTCGTCCGTTGATGGGCACTTAGGTTGATTCCATGACTTTGCTATTGTGACTAGTGCTGCAATAAACATACGAGGCTGCACCAGTATGTGGAGGTAAACAGCAGTAGGACATACTCCTCACTGTATCAAGAATATGAAAGAGACCAGAAGTGCACTTCTTCTCCACATAGAAGGTCAGCAGGCCAGGGCAGAATTAGTGACTGCTTAGCATCCAGGACAGCCTTCTGTGGTTCACTCGTGTGTGCTTGGGCATGACCTCCGTGCCCTGACCGTCGCTGGCTGTCATGGATGAGTCACAGTGTGGAGGAGAGGGAGCCGCAGGACTGCCGGAGAAGCTCCGTCCCCAGCAGGGCAGCTTTCTCTTAGAGGTTTCCTGGAGTTCAACACAACACTGGTGCTTACATCTCAGGCCCAGATATTGATCATGTCATCATGCCTGGCTTCCAGCAGCTCGGAAACGTCTTTAAGCTAGACCTGTTGCTGCCCCTAAATATACTCAGCAGAGAGGGAGAGTGGGCGGCAGGTGGACAGTGATCTGTGCGGCCTGTGCTGCTGGGAGTCGGTCCAGTAGGACCGTCTGTGATGATGGAAATGTTGAGTGTTTGCCGTCCAGTATGGCAGCCATTAGCCATGGGGCCGTGGAGAACCTGATATATAGTCAGTCTAAGAAACTCAATTCCTCTAATAACAAGGATTCTTGTCCATGAATGAGATCTCTTGTCTGCTATTTGCAAGAATTTCTGCGTATTTTCTAGAAAGAAGTCCACTGCTTTAGTCCTATTCTGAAAGGCATTTGGTGTTAGACACAAGAGAACAGGTTCCCTGCTGACAATTTTCAGAGGCCCGTGCCCTTCGGTCTTCAGGTGAGGCTGGGCTTGAGGGAGGTTTTGTGGAACGGTGAGAAGAACAGCGTGACTAAGGCACAGAAGGCTGAGTGATGCCCTGCAGTGCTTTTGTAGGGTTGGAGGCCAGCTGGGAAAGAAGGAACCCTTGCGTTAGAGAATGGGAACATGCCTTAGGATATAGAAATGGCAAATCTGAGATAGTTTGAAGTGAGAATACTAGAAGTGTTCCCACCAAACAAGGTGTGTCTTGGTGCCTGCTGTATCCCAGGCTCCGTGAGGTGCCGGAGTCAGCACTGAACAAACAGAGCTTCCTATGCTTGCGGAAATGCATTTCGTTGGGGGAAGGGATTTTTCTGCTGACTCTGGCTATTAATAGTAACAATCAAAAAAAGAAATGAGGTAAATTGATAGAAACAGGCCCCCAAATGTGGCCATAAACTGGCCCCAAAACTGGCCATAAACAAAATCTCTGCAGCATGTGACGTGCTCGTGATGGCCAGGACGACCACGCAGGAAGGTTATGGGTTTACCGTAATGAGGGCAAGGAACACCTGGCCCACCCAGAGTGGAAAACCTCTTAAGACCTTCTTAAACCACAAACAATAGCATGAGCGCTCTGTGCCTTAAGGACATGCTCCTGCTGCAGATAACTAGCCAGACCCATCCCTTTATTTCCTGTAAGGAATACTTTCAGTAAGTCTTATCACTGGCTTGCTGTCAATAAATACGTGGGTAAATCTCTGTTTGAGGCTTTTGGCTCTGAAGGCTGTGAGACCCCTGATTTCCCACTCCACACTCTATATTTCTGTGTGTGTGTCTTTACTTCCTCTAGTGCCACTGGGTTAGGGTTTCCATGACCCAGCTGGTCTTGGCAGTAAATATTGAAAAGGAATAGATACAGTTGCCATTATTTACAGATATAATTTCCAAAAAATTTCCAGAGAATAAACGGAAAAACTAACAGAAACAAAACAAGAATGTAGTAAGGTATGTGTATAAGAGATTTGTATGTAAAAATCAGTAGCTTTGCAATGTGCCAGCAGTAATCTGCTCAGACATCAGTAAATATCTCATTCGCATTTCAAACAAAAAATTTAAAATGCCTTGAAATAATGTAACCAGAAATACGAAAAGATGATATGAAAACGTCGCTGCTAAAGGACATGAAAGAATGTAATACTAGATTCTGAGATGCAATTTTTTTCATTTGTTCTTCCTGAAAAACCATTAGGTTGATGTGCATTACAGTGTTACGATTATGTATGAGTCTAAGGAAAATCAGATGAAATGTCCAAATTGAACCACGAAGGTGCATTGGTAGAGGAAGAGACAATTAGGGTCAGTGGAGCAAAGCACAGTTAGAGGGAGAAGCAAGGAGGAGGAGGGATCACGGAGGTGGTGCCTGTGTGTCCCACAGGAAGCAAAAGCTGATGCCCAGTTCCCAGCATACCTAAGTAAACTTCAGGTCCACTCCTAGCACGTTTCTCGTGATAGTAAAACTATGAAGGAACTCAGTGTACAAGGAGCTTCTACAAAATAGGCAGAAGACAGTAGCCAGATGGGCCAAGGGCCCCAGCCACCCACGCCCCTCCCTCTCCTTGAAGACCTTCGGTTCCAACCCCACCATCAGCAGGGCTCTGCTCAGTTCCTCCTTGTGTGTATCACCACAGGGCTGCTGGCTCGTGTCACGTTCACCACCAGACCCCACATCAGGAGTCCCGCCAGGGGTGTGGGGAGGCAGTGCTGCCTGGTTGGCCGTGGAGCCGTATGGAACGTGGTGCCTCACAGGCAGTCTGCTTGGCGTCCTGGACCCTGGCTGTATCCCGCTGGAAAGGATGTGTGTGGGTCTAAGATATGTATATAATAGAAACATTTATTCAGAAGCTTTAGTCAAGACTTCATTTTTAAGTTCAGAGTAATAAACTCATAGTCTAAATTTCCTAATTTTTCTGTTTAATTTACATAAATAAAATGAAATGCAAAACAACAGGTCTAAAAGTTAAGCAGTTCTTGGTATGGCTGCTTCTATGAATTAAAAGTTTACAAATAATATTTTGTGCCACAGTCAACGCAAAATCATGCTGCCGTGTTCCGTGTGGGAAGCTTGTTGCAAGAAGGTTGTGGGAAAATCAGCAAGCTCTATGGAGACCTGAAGCATCTGAAGACGTTTGACCGGGGTGAGCAGACAGTGGGCTCTGTGCACACTGTTGGGCCCTGCCTTCTGCAGGGTGGGCTGGTGTCTGTCCCGTCAGTGCTGACTTAGTTCCATGCTTGCTGTCTGGATGGGTGCTGGCCCCCAGCTGTAAAGCCACAACCAGTGACTCCATGGACTAGCAGGCCCAGGCTGACAGCTCGGAGGGCCCGTGTGACTGGGTCCCACCTGCCCCTGATGGAACTTTTTGTGTCCCCAGGAATGGTCTGGAACACGGACCTGGTGGAGACCCTGGAGCTGCAGAACCTGATGCTATGTGCGCTGCAGACCGTCAATGGAGCAGAGGCGGGGAAGGAGTCACGGGGCGCGCACGCCGGGGAAGACTACAAGGTGCGCCTTCTCGCCACGCCCACCTGCACCTGCCTTTTCCTCCCGCCTGGTGGGACTCAGCCCCACCCCTGCATTTTCTCTGCATTTTATGTCGTTTCCCCAAAAGTATATCCAAAAAATGCCTTTTTCCCTCTGGTAACTTTGATCCCTGGGTTCTCGCCATTTTCTGGATCACTGTGACCTGTTCCTTGCTTTGGGTCGGCATCCACTGATGCCAGCAGTGGCATCTCCAAGCCAATGTGCTTTGCTGTTAGAAGGCCAAGGTTAGAAGTGCAGCCAGCGTGGCATGACCAGGAAATAAATGCCAGTTTATTAAATAACGAGTAAGCCACCGTTTCAAGCCTGCCCTATGGAGGAAATGCCAGTTTATTAAATAACGAGTAAGCCACCGTTTCAAGCCTGCCCTGTGGAGGAAATGCCAGTTTATTAAATAACGAGTAAGCCACCGTTTCAAGCCTGCCCTGTGGAGGAAATGCCAGTTTATTAAATAACGAGTAAGCCACCGTTTCAAGCCTGCCCTGTGGAGGAAATGCCAGTTTATTAAATAACAAGTAAGTCACCGTTTCAGACCTGCCTTGTGGAGGAAATGCCAGTTTACTAAATAACGAGTAAGCCACTGTTTCCAACCTGTCCTGTGGTTTGGAAAAGGTATTATAGAGCCTGTCCTGTGGTTTGATTACGGAGACTGCCCTGTGGTCACTTGTTCTTCAGATGAACTGATTTTTGTGCAGAGCACACGTGTTGGATTCTGCCTGGTAAGAGTTTTTCACATATGATAGCAAAAAACGACGGAAAGGGAAGCTTGGGGTGCAAATGCAAGTTCAGGATAAACCACATCGGCAAAAGGACAAAGGCTCCACAAGGCAGGCGCACAGGCTGGTTCAGGGCCATGTGTGGGCGGCTGGTGGCAGCCTTTCCAGTCAGCTGAACACAGTGAATGGGAAAATCATTTTTATTCACCATGAAATTTTACTGATTTACCCTCCACTAGAATATGCTGATGGCTGTGATCACTGCTCAGAATTTGCTCGTCTCCTCATACATATTAAGAGTCTTTCCTGCAAAGTATATGAATCCGTGTTTGCCAGAATACAGAATAATAATAAATTTATTATTTTTAATTTTTTGAGATGGAGTCTCATTGTCCCCCAGGCTGGAGTGCAGCGGCGCGATCTCAGCTCACTGCAACCTCTGCCTCCCAGGTTCAAGTGATTCTCCTGCCTCAGCCTCCCAAGCAGCTGGGGTTACAGGCGCATGCCACCGTGCCCGGCTAATTTTGTATTTTCAGTAAAGACGGGGTTTCACCATGTTGGCCAGGCTAGTCTCGAACTCCCGACCTCAAGTGAACCACCCACCTTGGCCTTCCAAAGTGCTAGGATTACAGGCATGAGCCACTGTGCCTGGCCAGGAGCATAAATTTAGTTGGTGACAACGAGTTTTAATTAGAATAGAAGCCAGGTGCAGTGGCTCCCACCTGTAATCCCAGCATTTGGGAGGCTGAGGCAGGCAGATCACTTGAGCCCCGGAGTTCTAGACCAGCCTGGGCAACATGGCGAAACCTGTCTCTACAAAAATTAAAAAATTAGCCAGGCGTGGTGGTACACACCTGAGGTACCAGCTGCTCAGGAGGCTGAGGCAGGATGATTGATTGAGCCCGGGAAGTCAAGGCTCTGGCGAGCTGTGATCACACCATTGCGCTCCAGCCCAGGTGACATAGCGAGACCCTGTCTCAAAAGAGAAAAAAAGTGTTTTTAATAAAAACAGGCTGAAAGAAAAGATGGAGGTAGTCTCCCAGCGCTTGGAGCAAAAAGACAAAGTATTTGATAAACTCTTAGGTACATAAAGGATGTCTAAGGGAACATGCGGACATGGATTACTCTGGACTCACTGCTGGCTGCACATCGCTGGCCAGCCATGTGGCCTCTGTGGGTTCTGAACGTGTTGATGGTGCCAACCTCCTGGGCTGAAGTGGAAATGGAATGGGTTCTAGGGCATCTGTCTCTTAGATCATTTTAATGTTTGCTGTGTTTTTTCTGTATTGCTCTGTTAGAGTAATGAGAAATGTGATGGTGTTTCTGGCCTCAGGTGCAGATTGATGAGTATGATCACTCCAAGCCCATCCAGGGGCAACAGAAGAAGCCCTTTGAGGTGCACTGGAGGAAGCACACCCTGTCCTATGTGGACGTCGGCACTGGGAAGGTCAGTGTGGAGCTCGTTCTCACCACAGCCCAGCACCCACACGGCCCCGCCCAGGTCTGCGGGCTGGCCTTGCTGATGGTGAACGCGGAGGAGCAGGCCAGATTTAAATCAACTCCCGACAGATTTGAGGCACCGCTGAAAAAGGCACTCTGACAGCAGTCGGGCTTCGGGCTGGAAACAGAATCCAGTGCCTGCAGGTGGTTCAGAGGAGCCTTAAGGAAGGGTTGCTCTGTGGTGTGGGCCAGATGGAAGTCACTGGGCAGGAGCAAGTGTCCAAGGCCTGGTGGCAGGGGAGGAGATGATGATTGTGGACCTAGCGAGAAAGTCAGCATCTGTGTGGTGGGGACAGAGCCACTACCAGAAACCAGTCCCGAGCCAAGGGAGCCCAGAAGAGACCCCTCCCCTCTCTTCCCATGGGCTGGGCCAACTGGAAGCATCTGCAGGGGAGCAGAGGGGATGTGGTGCAGCCCTTAGCATCCCCTGGGCACTGAGCAAGCAGAGAAGGGCAGAAATGGAGGCAGGGTTGGGGTAAGCAGCGTCCTGGGAACAGCCAGCCGAGGGTGTGGTAGGGGGGTTGCAGCTTGTTCCACACAAGCACAGCGTCTTGGGAACAGCCAGCCGAGGGTGTGGTAGGGGGTTGCAGCTTGTTCCACACAAGCACAGTTCACCTGTGTGGCATTTCCACTGGGCATTGAGATTCAGAAATCATGAAGATAGAAAGCTTTTACCCTTAAGCTTTTCATAACTTGTAAGGGAGAGTCGTATAATCACTTAGCTGTGTCTGTGGAAGTTACCTTTGGACTCTCACTATCATCTAGTGTGTCTGTGATTCAGGCAGTGGGTCATTTTCAGAATTTATCATGAAGGCCATTTCCTGATAGTATAGAGAGGTCACACTTCACTCGCTTAGCACAAGTCTATTTTTAATGTTTCCGGGTTCAGGTTTTTTGTTTTGTTTTTGTTGTTCTGAGATAGAGTCTCATCTCTTTTGCCCAGGCTGAAATGTGGTGGCTCGATCTCATCTCACTGCAGCCTCAACCTCCCCTCGGCTCAGGTGATCCTCCCACCTCAGCCTCCCGGGCACATGCCACCATGCCTGGCTAATTTTTGTATGTTTTGTAGAGACGGGGTTTTGCCACGTTGCCCAGGCTAGTCTTGAGCTCCTGAGCTCAAGTGATCCACCTGTCTTGGCCTCCCCAACAGGCATGAACCAACACGCCCAGCCAGTTTCAGTGATTTTTGAAGAAATACATACTCATTTTAGAAAGTACAAAGAGATTGAAATAAGAGCTCACTAACCAGAGATGACCCATTATGGTTTAAATTTCTTTGTATATGTGCCTACCTTTTCCTGTGTGTGCATATTTAATACACGGCTTGAGTATTCCTTCTCTGAAATCCTTGGGACCAGAAGTGTTTTGGATTTCAGGCTTGTTCAGACTTTGGAATATTTGCATTACACTTACTGTCTGAGCATCCTTAATCGGAAGATCTGACTCCATAGCACATTTCTTTTGAATGTCATGCTGGTGCTCAGAAAGTTTCAGATTTGGGAGAATTTCAGATGTTTGGATTAGGGATGTTCTACCTATATAAATATTTACTTTGAAGTAGAAAAACTGGAAGTAGATAGTTTAAACATGAAGTGTCTTGGTATAGACAAGGGTTCTCCCACTTTTCATGATGGGAGCATTTTTGTAAAGCAAAGCACTGAGAATCTGGTACAGTGTCATTTTCGTTGCTCTGTTCCACTCTACCGATCTGCCGTCATTTACAGTCCCCTGTTGCGCATGTAGATCATTTTTGAATTTGTTATTGGAAAATACTGCAGCAAATACCTTAAAGTTCACATGCCGTAAATCTACTTTTATAGTTAAAATTTTTCAAAAGGAACACAAGAGATGGCTTTTTGTACATTTTTGTGCTTAACTTACCACTGACTTCTTTTCAAGGTCACTGTGGAATATAGACCCATAATTGACAAAACTTTGAACGAGGCTGACTGTGCCACTGTCCCCCCAGCCATTCACTCCTACTGATGAGACAAGATGTGGTGATGACAGAATCAGCTTTTGTAATTATGTATAATAGCTCATGCATGTGTCAATGTCATAACTGTCTTTATACGCTTCTGCACTCTGGGGAAGAAGGAGTACATTGAAGGGGGATTGGCACCCAGTGGCCGGGGAGCGTGGCACTTACCTTTGTCCCTTGCTTCATTCTTGTGACAAGATAAAACTGGGCACAGCTGTTAAATAAAATATAAATGAACAAACTTTCTTTTATTTCCAAATCCATTTAAAATATTTTCCTGTTATGACTTGTCATATTTGTTGACCTAAAAATCAAATGTAATTATCTTTGTATTCTGTTACATCAAAATCCAGATATTTTGTTGCAGTTTCTTTTTTTTTTTTTTTTTTTTGAGACAGGGTTGGTGCAGTCTCAGCTCACTGCAGCCTCAAACTCCTGGGCAGCTCAGGTGATCTTCCCGACTCAGCCTTCTAAGTAGCTGGGGCTACAGGTGTGCACCACCACGCCCAGCTCATTTATTTTGTAATTGTAGGGACAGGGTCTCACTTTGTTGCCTAGGCTGGTCTCAAACTGCTGGGCTTAAGTGATCGTTCCTCCTTGGCCTCCCGAAGTGCTGGAATTATAGGTGTGAACCACCATGTCTGGCCTTGTAGTTTATTTCTAAGTTCAAATTAATGTTGGTGCTTTTCCTCCTTTTTTCTTAGCAGATGGTTTGCTAGGTGAGTGTGTCCTCGATTCTTTAAATCAGGGGTCCCCAATCCCCAGGCCACAGATTGTTCCAGTCCATGGCCTGTTAGGAACCAGGCCACACAGTAGGAGGTGAGCAGCCAGCCAGTGAGCATTACTGTGTGAGCTCCGCCCCCTGCCAGAGCATTACTGTGTGAGCTCCACCCCCTGCCAGAGCATTACTGTGTGAGCTCCGCCCCCTGCCAGAGCATTACTGTGTGAGCTCCGCCCCCTGTCAGAGCATTACTGTGTGAGCTCCGCCCCCTGCCAGAGATTACTGTGTGAGCTCCGCCCCCTGGCAGAGCATTACTGTGTGAGCTCCGCCCCCTGGCAGAGCATTACTGTGTGAGCTCCGCCCCCTGCCAGAGATTACTGTGTGAGCTCCGCCCCCTGTCAGAGCATTACTGTGTGAGCTCCGCCCCCTGCCAGAGTATTACTGTGTGAGCTCTGCCCCGTCAGAGCATTGCTGTGTGAGCTCCGCCCCCTGCCAGAGTATTACTGTGTGAGCTCCACCCCCTGTCAGCATTACTGTGTGAGCTCCACCCCCGTCGGCATTACTGTGTGAGCTCCGCCCCCTGCCAGAGCATTACTGTGTGAGCTCTGCCCCCTGTCAGAGCATTGCTGTGTGAGCTCCGCCCCCTGCCAGAGTATTACTGTGTGAGCTCCACCCCCTGTCAGCATTACTGTGTGAGCTCCACCCCCGTCAGCATTACTGTGTGAGCTCCGCCCCCTGCCAGAGCATTACTGTGTGAGCTCCGCCCCCTGCCAGAGCATTACTGTGAGCTCTGCCCCCTGTCATCATTACTGTGTGAGCTCCGCCCCCTGTCATCATTACTGTGTGAGCTCCGCCCCCTGCCAGAGCATTACTGTGTGAGCTCCGCCCCCTGCCAGAGCATTACTGTGTGAGCTCCGCCCGCTGTCATCATTACTGTGTGAGCTCCGCCCCCTGTCATTACTGTGTGAGCTCCGCCCCCTGTCATATCATTACTGTGTGAGCTCCGCCCCCTGTCATATCATTATTGTGAGCTCCGCCCCTGTCATATCATTGCTGTGTGAGCTCCGCCTCCTGTCAGATCAGTGGTGGCATTAGATTCTCATAGGAGTGGAATCCTGTTGTGAACTGCGCATGAGAAGGATCTAGGTTATGCCCCGCTTATGAGAATCTAATACTGATGATCTGAGATGGAACCGTTTCATCTCCAAACCATCCCCACACTTGTCAGTGGAAAAAGTGTCTTCCGTGAAACCAGTCCCTGGTGCCAAAAAGGTTAGGGACTGCCGGTTTAAATAACCAAATGCTAAAAGAACTGGCATAGAAGTAAATGGGCTGCTGCTTTATTTTTAGGCTGTTCTTTTTAGAGAGCAATGACAGTTATTTCCAAGTTTGTCATTAGAAAATAATATTAGGTTGGAGCAAAAGTAATTGCAGTATTTGCCATTGCTTTCAATGGTAAAAGGCACAATTACTTTTGCAGCAACTTAATATTATAAATTTGTTCTTAAAGTGTATTTTTGATAAGAAAGCCGTTTTGTTTTTCCTTCTGTTAATTTTTTGTTTTTTTCTTGGTCGAGACAGAGTCTTGCCATGCTGCCCAGGCTGGAGTGCAGTGGTGTGATCTCGGCTCACTGCAGCCTCCACCTCCTGGGCTCCAGCAGTCCTCCCACCTCAGCCTCCCTAAGAGCTGAGACTACAGGTGTGAGCCACCATGCCTGGCTAATTTTTAGAGACAGGGTTTCACCCTCTTGCCCAGGCTGGTCCCAAACTCCTGGGCTCAAGCAGTCCTCCTGCCTCAGCCTCCCAGAGTATTGGGATTATAGGTGTGAGCCACTGCCAGAAAAACGTTTCCTAAGACAAGGCAGGTCTTACATTATATTTAAATTTTTTTTAATGATGTCTTTTTTGGCAGTGCACAGCCAGAGGACAACACATCACACACAAGAAACAGTTGTGCTCATGTGATGGGGGCCTCAGCACTAGGAAGGAGTGGACTGTTGGCGCACGCAGCAGCTTGAATAAATCTGAAAGTCACTACGCTGCGTAAGAGAAGCCAAATAAAGCGCATGCTGTGTACAGAGGGTGTCGAGAATGCCTCCTACGTGACGGAAAGCAGATCCGTGGTTCCCTGCAGACTGGCAGGAGCAGATTCCAAAGGCACAGGAAGAAGCTTGCAGGTAGAATGTGTTCATTACCTTCTGCGCATTATACCACAAAAAAGCTGGGAATAAAAATGCTAACCAAAAAAAAAGGTGAAAGTAGATAAAATTTCTCAACTGTGTGATGGGTAAACGTGCAGGTTTGCTGTCATGCTTTGTTTATGAAGCTGTGGGGTACAAGGACTCTCATACGTCACTGTGGAATGCAGAACGTTGCAGCCTCATGGAAGAGGATTTGGCAGCATCTAACAAAACGACATGGCATTTGCCCTTAGACTCAGCAATTCTAGAATCTGCCTCAAAAAAAACTCTGGCAAAGAAATGAAAGGACTTTATCCACAGAGTTCTTTTCACAGCCTGAATGTGTTTGCCACAAAGTTCTTCACTGTGGCATTTGTAAAACTGGAAACAATCAAAATGTCCATCAGTAAGGGATTAGGAACATTAATTCGTGCAGTGGGGAACTCCGTACCAGAAGGAGGAATGAGGAACGCCTATTGATAAGGGGCAGAGTACATATAATATAATGCAAATATATATTTGCTTTTTCTTAAAACAGTACAAAGATAAAAATCTAAAGTGGTTGCTGTGGAGGACAGGGGTCAGTGGTGGAAGTGAGACCGAAATAGACTCTGAAGTAATATCTGGACTTTGAAATTGTAAGTGTTTTACATATTACCAAACTAAGTTTTTAAGATAGTCCCTAAAATTGAAAGAATGGTATCTGAAATGAATGAATCTAAATTCCTTGGATTGCATTCTACAGGCGCCAACCCTGAGACAAAAATTTGGAAGGTGGCCCTGAGCAGCAGCTGAAGGGAAGTGGGAGGTGAGACAGGAAAGAGGCGGCAGCATGGGGCGTCCGGGAGCCGGGTCTCATGTGGACAGCTGGGCCCGTGTTCACTGTGGGAGCTGGTGCGTTCCTTCACCAGCCCACGCTGCACAGGTTCAGGATGGTCAATTCCGGGCACCCCTGGCCTGCTCCAGGACATGCTGCTGCCACCAGAGAAAGCCCCTAGGCAGCGTCCCGGGTGCTGGTGGTGTCAGAATCGAGTTTGAGTCTGAGGAGTGACCTGGGGCTGGCTGGGCTAGGCAGCATCACGGGGTTCTGCAGCCCAACTGCACATCAGGCTGGTGACAGTCACGCAGCCTATTACTTCATGTGTCATCAGAGGATCGCTAGAACACAGCACTTCAAGTGTGCAGATTTAGTGAGCCATAGTCTAAAGACAAATAGAGCCACTGAATCCTAAATTTCAATCAATCATCTCCGTTACTCGTCTTATAGGTATTAATCCTTTGAAATTATGTGGGGTGGGAGTTAAAGCAAATAACTAATTATGTTAATGCTAAAACTAAGATTTTTCTGGCAAGGGAAAATCCTCCCAAGTCCCAGCACTTTGGGAGGCCGAGGTGGGCAGATGACCTGAGGTCAGGAGTTTGAGACCAGCCTGGCCAACATGGTGAAACGCCATCTCTACTAAAATTGAAAAATTAGCTGGGCATGGTGGCAGGTGCCTGTAATCCCAGCTATTGGGGAGGCTGAAGCAGGAGAATCGCTTGAAACAGGAGGCAGAGATTGCAGTGAGCCGAGATTGTGCCACTGCACTCCAGCCTGGGCAACAGGAACAAAACTCTATCTCAAAAAATAAAACAAGATTTTTCTGAGAAAAAGGTGTAAAACCGTATACTAAATTTGAAATAGAAATATAAGCGTGAACTCATTTGTTGTTCTTTTACCGTAGACACATTTTCTACCTCTGCCCCAGTAGCAGTAGACACATCAAGCACCTAGAAAGTGGTCTCTAATACATGAAAACCATGAATTCATAGTGGTGGTTTCAAAGCCAAAACCAAACAAACACATGTAATTGGTCACTCTTGGAGGTACCTAGGGCACTAACTCCTAACACTGGGAATGGACACTTGAAGGAAGATCAGTAATTATCCTGTCTTTTCTCTACAAATTGCAATTCAGGGAAACCTTGTTGATTAGGGAAAGTTCTTTACATAAGAATTCCTGCAAGTAAGTGAGTAAAGAATGACAGTTTAAGAATTGTCCCAGCCTGGCCAACATAGTGAAACCCCATCTCTAAAAATACAAAAAATTAGCCAGGCATGATGATGGGTGCCTGTAATCCCAGCTACTCAGGAGGCTGAGGCAGGAGAGTTGCTTGAACCTGGGAGACGGAGGTTGCAGTGAGCCGAGAGTGCGCCACTGCACTCCAGCCTGGGCAACAAGAGTGAGACTCTGTCTCAAAAAAAAAAAAAAAGAATTGTCAAATTGCTACCCCTAATGCCATGGTTCTCTAACCTGTGTAACAGGATCAGCTGGAGGGACGCTACCCCAGACCTTCCAATTCAGTCCTGGGGGGACCCTAGTCCAGACCTTCCGATTCGGTCCTGGGGGGGCCCTAGTCCAGACCTTCCAATTCAGTCCTGGGGGGACCCCACCCCAGACCTTCCGATTCAGTCCTGGGGAGACCCTACCCCAGATCTTCTGATTCAGTCCTGGGGGGACCCTCGTCCAGACCTTCCGATTCAGTCCTGGGGGGACCCCACCCCAGACCTTCCGATTCAGTCCTGGGGTACCCCACCCCAGACCTTCCGTTTTCAGTCCTGGAGGGACCCTACCCCAGATCTTCCGATTCAGTCCTGGTTCGGTCTGAGAATTTGCATTTCTAACATGTCCAGGGAACACAGTTTGAAAACCTCCACGGCTAACATGTAATGGGATGACATGGTCCAATAAATGAAGGAAAAATAACAGGTGGCAACCTCAGGCAGCTTCATCCCAACCAGTAAGAAAGTAAATCCTTTTGTAAACTAAGAGGAAGTATTAATATGGGCGTTTGAGCAAACATTTAAGTGTTAGGACAAAGAATTAAAAACTAGCACAGGCACCCCTGAAGCATGATAGGATGGCAACAGAAGGGCTGATTTAGTTTCCAAGAAATAACTGACAGGCAGTGTTGTGCGTGTGTCTACTACTTAGGAACCCAAAACAAACCTTCAGACCGTTTTCATGAGTACTGAGACCAAGAAAACCACTGGGCAGTGGGTGGTCTGGAAATGTAAATGTTGATGGTACTCCAGTAATGAGTCATGGAACAATGTTTCATATTGAAAATGTTTTTGTAAATGTGGGTTTCAGGGTTTCAAAGTGAACCCATATGTGTTAGGAGAAAGGACACACCAAAGAAGTAAAATAATTGGGTCAATATAAAAAGTAGAATATTGCCCAGAGAGAAGATGTGGATAATTCCTAATACGGATCAAAGGCACCAAAAAGGTGAGCTGTGAGTAAGATATTCAGACCTGCACCATCCCAAGCAGTAGCCACAGTGGCAAGTAGCCTCCTCACTGGACAGTGCAGCTACGGAATGATGCCATCACCGGAAAGTTCCATCAGCCAGCACCGATGCAGACCTTTGCAACTGCCCCTCACGCTGGACAGCACCTGTTTGATAGATTGTCCACTACGCAGTGAAAAGCCTGGGTGAAAAGCGGTATTTGGTAGAAGAGCAAAAAGGGGAAAAAAATTAAAAGTAGTAGGTCATTGTCCGCCAAACTGAATTCTGGCAGAAGAATGTTGGAAGCAAGATGGGAGCCACAGGAGAAAGTATCCTTGTCCCAAGACAGGAGGGGGTGCCAGGCATGGTTGGCTCTGTGCCTGGAATTCTATGGCCGGAATCTGGAAAAAGGAAAAGTGACTGGAAAAGGAAAGATTCTGTGTGCTTATGTCAAGATGCAGCCGTCCGTGATCCTGAGAAAATAAGTGAACAAAGTGGCTTTGGAGGGACGCTGTTGGATACACAAACAGATACAATGTGCACTTGCTATGCTTGTTCACACAAAGGACAGGATGGTCATCTGTTCATTGAACAACTACCTGTCGAGGGCCTATATGTGCCAAAGACATCAGATGAACAAGAGGGTGCACTGTGGAAAGCCTCAGGAACACAAGCGCCCAGAAACATTTAGAAAAATTCTAAGGAAAACAGAAAAGGCATTTTCAGATTAGCTCATAGAAATGAGACCAAAGGAAAGACTGGCCCAGTATTTGGATACATTATGTGATAAACCTTAACACAGGGAGGAAAGTGTTATCTTTCAATTAATTTCTCAACTTCTGGAGACCTTAGAACAGACCTGGCTAGGAGGAAATTGAATCCGAGGCAGGTGAGGACATAGTGGTGCCTCGATGCTTCCAGTGATTGCGTCAGCAGAACCAGGGGTGGGAGATGATCTCTCTTTTTGTTGGCAGATGGTGGTGTCTGCTGTAGCTTTGTCCCCTGGTGACGGGACTCAGGCAGTAACCCCCATCATTGGCAATACCCCCACCTCTGAGAATGTGGAGAGGACTTGTGAAGACAATGTTGTCCCAAGCAGCACAGCCCAGGTGCTGACAGGATTCAGAGTTAGAGCTTTCTTAGAGGTCAGGGTTGCGGAAGAGGCAGGGACTGCAGCTGCATAGTTTGTATATGTATCAGGCTAGTATCTTTTGTTCTAGACTCATCCATTTGTACATTCATATGAGTATGCATGCATGGTGTTTTTTCTTTTTCTTTTTCTTTTTTTTTTTTTTTTTGAGATGGAGTCTTGCTGTGTCACCCAGGCTGGAGTGCAGTGGCATAATCTTGCTTGACTGCAAGCTCCGCATTCCGGGTTCAAGAGATTCTCCTGCCTCAGCCTTCCGAGTAGCTGGGATTACAGGTGCCTGCCACCACACTTGGCTAATTTTTGTATTTTTAGTAGAGATGGGGGTTTCACCATGTTGGCCAGGCTGGTGTCGAACTCCTGACCTCAGTGATCCACCTGCCTTGGCCTCCCAAAGTGCTGGGATTACAGGCATTAGCCACTGCGCCCAGCCGTATGTCTCCATCTTTTTATTTCTTGCAATGTGTTGTTAAAGAAGTCAGGTGGTATGTGTACACAAGTAACGTATACTTGTTGAATATTTCTTATTTATCATACCCTGTCTCGTTCCAAAAGGATTTTACATGACTTATAATTTTAATATAATCCGGGGGAGATGGGCAGATTCAGCTCTGGGAGGCCAGCAGAATGGCTTTTAGGTCCTCCTTGGATTCAGAAAATACTTCTTGAAAGATATTTGAGGTAAATCTTACAGGATTAGAGGTTAGCCAGATGAAAAGAAATCAAGAGAGGAGAGAGGAGCCCCCACAAAGGACTGACCCAGGGCAATAACGGGGAAAGAACTTGGAGGTACAGAGGCAGACCTTGGTGTTTCCCAGGGTGTGGGACGTTGGGGGTAGTAAGGCTGGAGTGGGTAGAGGAAAGGGCTAGGGTGACACCACGGGGTATTAGGTGGAACTGAGGGAAACAGAAATAGGAGCAGAGAAAAGGGAATGAGAACGGGAAAGAGGGAGGTGGGAAATAGAAGAGGGAGTTTCCAAACAGCAACAACAACAGAAACAAGTGTTTTGGGTTGTGGAGCGTTTGCCCTGCAGAGAGCTGGGTCTGCCCTTGTCCCTTTTGGGGATTATGAATCAGTGCGTGGAGCCGCGCGGCCACATCCACCATTCACTTGCACTTGAGTGACAGCCAAGCTACAGTCATGAATACGTTTCTTTCTTTTTACAGAAGAACAGTAAATTGACTTTATTCCTTATAAAGGTGATACTGGAGAATGTGACATAGATTTGCTGGCACATGGGTTTCCTATGAGCAAACCCCAGAATTGGACACACGTATCTGGTGCTGCATTGGAATCATCCCAAAAAACCAAGGCTTGCATTGCATATCTATCTGCTGTCTGCTGAAGGAGCCCTGTCTGTGTGCCCAAGGAAGTGACATCCTTGCCAAGGGCTGTCCCTGTCGCAGGAGATGAAGGAGCCCTGTCTATGTGCTCAAGGACAGTGGCTTCCTTGCCAAGGGCTGTCCCTGTTGCAGGAGATGAAGGAGCCCTGTCTATGTGCTCAAGGACAGTGGCTTCCTTGCCAAGGGCTGTCCCTGTTGCAGGAGATGAAGGAGCCCTGTCTATGTGCTCAAGGGCAGTGGCTTCCTTGCCAAGGGCTGTCCCTGTTGCAGGAGATGAAGGAGCCCTGTCTATGTGCTCAAGGACAGTGGCTTCCTTGCCAAGGGCTGTATCTGTTGCAGGAGATGAAGGAGCCCTGTGTGCCTGAGGACAGTGGCTTCCTTGCCAAGGGCTGTCCCTGTAGCAGGGGAAAGCCTTTCAGGACCCTTTCTTAGAGAAATAGGTCTCAAAGTGAATGAATATACCTCCTCACATACTCACCAAGCAGCCTGCAGAGGATACAGCTTTCCATGTGGCTCAGGGAACAGTTGATATCAACAGTCTCTCAATTCCTTTATTATTATTATTATTATACTTTAAGTTCTGGGATACATGTGCAGAACGTGCAGCGTTGTTACATAGGTATATATGTGCCATGGTGGTTTGCTGCACCCATCAACCTGTCATCTACATTGGGTATTTCTCCTAATGCTATCCCTCCCCTTGCCCCCAACCTCCCAACAGGCACCGGTGTGTGATGTTCCCCTCCCTGTGTCCATATGTTCTCATTGTTCAACTTCCACTTATGAGTGAGAACATGCAGTGTTTGGTTTTCTGTTCCTGTGTTAGTTTGCTGAGAATGATGGTTTCCAGTGTCATCCATGATCCTGCAAAGGACATGAACTCATCCTTTTTTATGGCTGCATAGTATTCCATGGTGTCTATGTGCCACATTTTCTTTAACCAGTCTGTCATTGATGGGCATTTGGGTTGGTTCCAAGTCTTTGCTATTGTGAATAGTGCCGCAATAAACATACATGTGCTCGGGGCTGGGCGCGGTGGCTCAAACCTGTAATCCCAGCACTTTGGGAGGCTGAGGCGGGTGGATCACGAGGTCAGGAGATCAAGACCATTCTGGCCAACATGGTGAAACCCCTTCTCTAGTAAAATGCAAAAAATTAGCTGGGCGTGGTGGTGTGTGCCTGTAGTTCCAGCTACTCAGGAGGCTGAGGCAAGAGAATCGCTTGAACCCGGGAGGTGGAGGTTGCAGTGAGCCGAGACCGTGCCACTGCACTCCAGCCTGGCAACAGAGCAAGACTCCGTCTCAAAAATAATAAATAAACATACGTGTGCATGTGTCTTTACAGTAGAATGATTTATAATCCTTTGGGTATATACCCAGTAATGGGATGGCTGGGTCAAATGGTATTTCTAGTTCTAGATCCTTGAGGAATCGCCACACTGTCTTCCACAATGGTTGAACTAATTTGCACTCCCACCAACAGTGTAAAACTATTCCTATTTCTCTACATCCTCTCCAGCATCTGTTGTTTCCTGACTTTTTAATGATCACCATTCTAACTGGTGTGAGATGATATCTCATTGTGGTTTTGATTTGCATTTCTCTAATGATCAGTGACGATGAGTTTTTTTCATGTTTGTTGGCTGCATAAATGTCTTGAGAAGTGTCTGTTCATATCCTTTGCACACTTTCTGATGGGGTTGTTTGTTCTTGTAAATTTACTTAAGTTCCTTGTAAATTCTGGATATTAGCCCTTTGTCGGATGGATAGATTGCAAAAATTTTCTTCCATTCTGTAGGTTGCCTGTTCACTCTGCCTGGTCATATGCAGAAAACCGAAACTAGACCCCTTGCTGACACTTATACAAAAATTAACTCAAGATGCATTAAAGATTTAAACGTGAGACCTAAAACCAGAAAAATCCTAGAAGAAAACCTAGGCAACACCATTGAGGACGTAAGCATGGGCAAAGACTTCATGACTAAAACACCAAAAGAAATGGCAACAAAAGCCAAAATTGACAAAAGGTATCTAATGAAACTAGAGAGCTTCTGCACAGCATGACTGTATTTCAGTGCACGTTTACCACCGAGCTCTTAACGCTCCACCACTGTCCTGTGTCATTAGGATCCCAGCTCTGCAGCCATTCCTCTAGTTGGGCCTGGGTCGGCTCTGGGATGCCGCGGGGGGGCCGGTCGGCGGCGGAGGGGCCAGTGGGGACCCGGGGCAGGGGCGGAGACCCCTCCCACTGCACATCCCACTGCCTGGGTATCTGGCCCCCAACCGGCCTGCCCGCTGCTCCCACCTCCCATGGTGGGTCGGGGGCTGAGGGCTGGGGACTGGGGCAGGGTACCCCAAATATCTCTCGGTGGCGATCGCTCAGTCCGTGCAGTCCATCCAGCTCCTGCATTGTCCGTCCTACCAATAACCTCTCACTTGCAATTCTCAGCCCCTTCCTGCATTGTCTCCCTGTGAGACCTACTAGAACCCCCGCCTTTCACACTGCTGACCTGCTGGGGGAAAATGCACAGAGGCAGAGACGAGGCCACGCGGGAGTCCTGATCTCTAACCCCAGCCGGTCTCAGGCCTTGCCGAGGCAACGCTGCTTCCCCAGACACTCTCCCTTTCCCATTCTTTTTTTTTTTTTTTTTTGAGTTGGAGTCTCGCTTTGCCACCCAGTCTGGAGTGCAGCGGCGCGATCTCAGCTCACTGCACCCTCCACCTCCTGGGTTCAAGCGATTCTCCTGCCTCAGCCTCCCAAGTAGCTGGGATTACAGGCACACACCACCATGCCTGGCTAATTTTTGTATTTTTAGTAGAGATGGGGTTACACCATGTTGGCCAGGCTGGTCTCAAATGCCCGACTTCAGGTGATCCACCCGCCTCGAGCTCCCAAAGTGCTGGGATTACAGGCGTGAGCCATCGCGCCTGCCTTTACTTTCCCATTCTTAACGCCTCCCGTTTCAGACCTGTCCCCTTTTCCCCGCATTTCTGACTGTCACGGCACATCACAACCAGCAGACAGGGCTTCCCCTATTTCACAGGAGAAATAGAAGCCATCAGATGGGACCTCCTTCAAAGTCCTGCCACCAAACCTCAGCATGTACCTGGACCCACATGTATCCTCTTTTCCTTTGGGATTGAATTAGAGAGGTGCCGCTCGAAACCCGCTCCTGGGTGGGAGTCTTGGCTCTATCAGTTATGCCTCTATTCTGTATGTTTAACCTCGCCCTCGTAGGGGCATAAAACAGCATTTAAACAGGATCAAGCTTTCCATTTTAAAACTCCATACACTCCCTTAATTTCATCTCCTCCTCCACCTACTGCCCCATGTCTCTCCCTCTTCCTGGCTAAACGTCTCAAAAAAGTGGATACACTTTCTGTCAACTCCTAAACACTCCTCACGCTCATTTGGCCTCTGCTCCTCCCTTCCTCCTCCCACTTCATTGGAACTACTTCTGCCAAAGAGGATCCCTGAGTCAGCCTGACTGGTAACCCCAATGGACTCTACTCAATATGCAACATCCTTCACTTCTTAGCAGAGTTTGAAACAGCCTGACTCTCCTCTTCTGGCAACATTCTTTTCCTTGGTTTGGGGACGCTGTACTGTTCTGGTTTTGCCCCTCCCTCCGAGCATTCCTTGTGTTTGTCCTGGCCCATTTTCTCCTCTCATTCTACATCCTCTCCCCGGGGATTTTAGCTTCTCTCACGGCTCAGGTTACCATCTCCATAGTGATGACTATCAAATTCTGTACCTCATTTCCAGAGGCTCCTGACAGACTTGCTTGGTCAATATACTACTGGACATATTCATGAGACTGTCTCACACAGGCATCTCGAACCCAGTGTGTCCCACAATTCTCTTCCTATCCATGCCTGTTCCTCTTCCACTGCCTCATATGTCGGTGACTGTCCACCTTCTCTCTCTCTCCCCCTCTCCGTTTGGCTCATAGGAAAAGTGTCACCAAGGGCTGTAAGTGCAGATTTCTAATTATCCCCTAAATTTGAACATTTTTCCTCTCGAAAGTGTATGGCCATTACCCTATTACAGATCAACATCTTCAATCACTGGAATGATGGCAATAATCTAATTGGGTTCATTTTATCCTCTATCTAACAATGACAACTCATTGCCTACACAGCAGGTAGAAGGAGTTTGTTTTCAGAATTGCCCTCTGACCTATTTAAGACGCTCAGATATTCCCTGAGGCTCCTTGGCCTGGCCACAAAGGCCCTACACATTCTGGCTGCTTCCTCCTTTCCAGCATCCTCTCTCACGTCTCCTCTCCTCAGTTCCACCCTCAGGAGGCACCAGAATTCCTCACTTCTTTGACTACAAGGCACCGTCTTACTCCCAAGACCAGTGAATCCGAAGGTGGACCACCAGCTGAGGGACTAGATTCCAGACTGAATAGAACAACTTTCCCTGTCTCTCCACATAAAGTGTGTTTGTTTTTCCTCTTACAGGTTTCCTTAATGACAACAAAAAAGGGAGTAATCCTACCCACTGTAAGAGTCATGACTCTTGATTGCAGCTGACAGAAACTCATGACAGCCTGCTTTAGATGAAGGGGGAGAGAAGGACTGGAAGAATCTTGGAGTTGGGAATGTCACACGTAATTGAAGGAAGAACAAGAAAACTATAGTAAAGAACCCTGGGGTGGTGATGTAGTCATGGGCCAAGTGTCCTGGAACCCTGGGGTGGTGATGTAGTTGTGGGCCAAGTGTCCTGGAACCCTGGGGTGGTGATGTAGTCATGGGCCAAGTGTCCTGGAACCCTGGGGTGGTGATGTAGTTGTGGGCCAAGTGTCCTGGGTTTTGGGTGGAGAAAGAGTCCCCTAGATAAGTTATTAGGTGGGTGCAAAGGTAATTGCAGTTTTTCCCATTATTTTAATTGCGAAAACAGCAATTACCTTTGCACCAACCTGATGGAGTCCCCCTTGCCATGCTTCTCTCTGTGAAAAACCCCAAGCCGAAGTCAGCATAACATCCACAGGACTCTATGTTTGCAAAAGCCAGCTTAGCTATATTACATGTATAAGCACATTTTTTCAATAAGTCAGCCTTAGCTTACTGTAACTTTTTAACTTTATAAACTTAGTATTTTAACTTTTTAAACTTTTTTGTTGAAAACTAAGACACAAAAACACATGTTAGCCTAGATCCACACAGGGTCAGGGTCATCAGTATCACTGTCTTCCACCTCCACATTTTGTCTCTCTGGAAGGTCTTCAGGGGCAATAACACACATGGAGCTGTCATCGCCTGTGGTAACAATGCCTTCTACAGTACTTCCCAAAGGGCCTGCTAGTTCACTTAATTCTTTTATAGAGAGAAGGAGTACACTCTAAAACACTGATCAATAGTATATTATAGTAAATACATAAACCAGGAACACATTTATTATCATTATCACGTATTGTGTATTGTACAGAATGGTGTGTGCTGTGCTATCCAGGAACACATTTATTATCATTATCAAGTATTGTGTACTGTACAGAATGGTGTGCGCTGTGCTTTTATGCAAGTGGCAGCACAGTAGCTTTACACGAGCATCACTAGACACATGAGTAGCATTGCACTCGGCAACAGGAATTTTTTCAGGCCCATTATTATAATCTTATGGGACCGCATCCTATATGCAGTTTGTCATTGACCAAAATGTCCTTATGCGATGCATGACTATATTTGCAAAGGACTAGTATCTAGAATACATTTAAAAGTCTTAAAATAGTAACAAAACAAAGAATGCAATTAGAACATGAGCAAAAGATACAAAGCAACATTTCACTGGAGAAGATATACAGATTGCAAATAAGCACATGAAAAGATGTTTGATACCATTAGGGAAACGCTTCTTTAAACCAGGAGATATCACCACGTGTTAGAATCAACAAAATAAGGCCAGGCATGGTGGCTCACACCTGTAATCCCAACACTTTGGGAGGCTGGGGCAGGCAGATCACATGAGATCAGGAATTCAAGACCAACCTGGCCAACATGGCAAAACCCTGTCTCTGCTGAAAACACAAAAATTAGCCAGGTGTGGTGGCACACGCCTGTAGTCCTAGCACCTTGGGAGGCTGAGGCAAGATAATTGCTTAAACCCAGGAGACGGAGGTTGCAGTAAGCTGAGATCATGCCACTGCGCTCCAGCCTGGGCGACAGAGCAAGATTATGTCTCAAAAAAAAAAAAAAAAAAAAGAATCACCAAAATAAAAAATAGTAACAATACTATTGTCAAGGATGCAAAGGAACTGTACCACTCAATCACTGCTGTGAGAATTTAAAGTGGTGCAGCCACTCTGGGAAACAGCTTGGCTGTTTTTTTTTATGACTGAATGTGCAACTACTATATGATGCAGTAATTTCATTTTTGCACATTTATCCCGGAGAAATGAAAACATATATTCACACAAAACCTGTATATGAATGCTAATAAAAGTCAATTGGCCAGGTGTGGTGGCTCATGCCTGTAATCCCAGCACTTTGGGAGGCTGAGGCAGTGGATCACCTGAGGTCAGGAGTTTGAGACCAGCCTGGCCAACGTGGTGAAAACTCGTCTCTACTAAAAATACAGCAATTAGCTGGGTGTAATAGTAGCCACCTGTAATCCCAGCTACTGGGGAGGCTGAAGCAGAAGAACCTCTTGAACCCGGGAGGCAGAGGTTGCAGTGAGCTGAGATCGTACCACTGCACTCCAGCCTGGGCGATAGAGTGAGACTCTGTCTCAAAAAATAAAATAAAATAAATAAAAAGATTAGATAATCTGCAAAGTTCCTGTGAGCGCTGTCATTTTGTCACTCTGGTTTTTCAGATTCTTCCCCTGGAGGCTGGAGTTTCCAGGATGTCAAAATTACCTCTGCTTGGGTGAGCTATTTCAAGCAGCTGGGATACCTGTGTCACTCCTGCTGTCTGCCAGTGACTGCCCAGGTGTCTGCTGGTTCCTCCCCAGGAGTAGGGAGGAACCAGGTGGGCTGGCTGGGATGGGTGGATATTTAAAGACCAGGCCTTGGACGCTGCAGCACTTCTATCTCTGCTTGATGCCTGCTGCCACGTGGCTGGTCCTCCTCCTCCTGCTGTGGCTGAGCCTTGGGGTGAAGACAGGTGAGGAGCTAGGCTGGCATCTGTGCTACAGGTCAAAGAGACCCCAATCTCTGCTCTCTCATTCATTCAATCAATTAATCTGTTTTGTCTCTGGCATGACCCACCTCCTGTGACCCAGCATTCATTAATTCATTAATCAAATAATTCATGTATTCAGACACTTATTAAGTACCGACTATATGGTTGATGTGGCTTCTTTGTGTATCCAGTTTTATATCTGGATAAGATGTCTTTGGATGATCAGCTTGGGAGGGTCTAGTATCCAGAGGATGCTCCCTCGGATAGAGGCAGCGTGGGCACTGTGGGTGGCTGGGGTGGACGGGACAGGAGGGAAGGTAGGTGTGATAAACCCAGATCCAGATTAACAGGCAGACTCACTGGGCAATTTCCAGGCACCAGTCTACTGGGTTTATTCAAACATCCCTGGAAATACAACAGGGTGAATACAGTTGCATTTACTAGAACTTCTCTCTCTCTCTCCTCTCTCTCTCTTTTTAATTTTTTTTTTTCCAGACAGAGTCTGCTCTGTCCCCCGCCAGGCTGGAGTGCAGTGGTACGATCTCGGCTCACTGCAACCTCCACCTTCTGGGTTCAAGCCATTCTCCTGCCTCAGCCTCCCGAGTAGCTGGGATTATAGGCATGCACCACCATGCCTGGCTAATTTTTGGCATTTTAAATAGAGACAGGGTTTCGCCATGTTAGCCAGGCTAGTCTTGAACTTCTGACTTCAGGTGATCTGCCCACCTCCGCCTCCCAAAGTGTTGGGATTACAGGTGTGAGCCACCGTGCCTGGCCCTAGAACTTCTCTTGGGAGAAAACTAGATGTCATTGGTAGGAACACAGTCAGCTGTTGCTTAATGATGGAGACACATTCTGAGAAATGCATCATCAGATGATTTCTTTGTTGTATGAATATCATAGAGTTCACACAACAATGAAATCGAGAGTTTACATAAACCTAGATGGTTTATATATATATTTATTTACATGTTTGTTTTCCACATGGAAAGCCACATGTCCCAGCACATGTCCCATTACTGAACATCAGTCATTTCCCCTGCTTGATCCTCAAGGCCAATATCGAGCACCATATATCGGGTTTCTGCATATGCCCTATTATAATCTTATGGGGCCACCGTCATATATATGGTCCATCATCGGTCTAAACATCGTGATGTGGCACAAGGCTGTACTTCTTGGCTGGGTGCGGTGGCTCACGCCTGTAATCCCAGCACTTTGAGAGGCCGAGACGGGTGGATCACTTGAGGTCAGGAGTTCAAGACCAGCCTGGGTAACATGGTGAAATACCATCGCTATTAAAATACAAAAATTAGCCAGGTGTGGTGGTGGGTGCCTGTAATCCCAGCTACTTGGGAGGCTGAGGCAGGAGAATCACTTGAACCTGGGAGACAGAGGTTGCAGTGACCCGAGATTGCGCCACTGCGCTCTAGCCTGGGTGACAGAGGGAGACTCCATCTCAGGAAAAAAAAAAAAAAAAAACCCAAAGCTATTTATTGTGGAAAAATTCAAACACATGCAAAAGTAAAGAGAATAGGATGATGAACCCAAGGTACCAGTTGGCCACCTTCAATATTATCAACATTATGCTCAAGCTCTTATCCCCCATATTTAAAAAATATAACCACAATACCTTATCAGAGCCAAAACAAATATGGTCGCACACCTGTAATCCCAACACTTTGAGAGACTGAGGCGGGCAGATCGCCTGAGGCCAGAAGTTCAAGACCAGCCTGGCCAACATGGTGAAACCCCTGTGTCTACTAAAAATACAAAAATTAGCTAGGCATGGTGGCGGGTACCTGTAATCCCAGCTACTCGGGAGGCTGAGGCAGGAGAATCACTTGAACCAGGGAGGTGGAGGTTGCAGTGAGCCGAGATTGCGCCACTGCACTCCAGCCTGGGCAACAGAGCAAGACTCTGTCTTTAAAAAAAAAATTAATTAATTAATTAATTTAAAAAACTACTTACTATCGTTTAATACCTATCAGTGTTCATATTTCCCCCACTTGTCAAAAATATCTTGTTATTCAGCAGCAAAGCAGAAGAGAAAAAGAAAAAATAAGATCAGATGTGGTGGCTGATGCCTGTAGTCCCAGCACTTTGGGAGGCCAAGGTGGGAGGATCACTGGAGCTCAGGAGTTTGAGACCAGCCTGGGTACAATAGCGAGACTCAGTCTCTACAAAAAAAAAATTTGTTTAAAAATTAGCAAGGTGTGTTGATGTTCACCTATAGTCCCAGCTATTCAGAAGGCTGAAGTGAGAAAATTGCTTGAGCCCCAGAAGTTGCGGCTGCAGCGAGCTGTGACCATACCACTGCATTCCAGTCTGCTGCACCGAGTGAGACCATGTCTCAAAAAAAAAAAAAAAAAAAAAAAAAAAAGAAAGAAAGAAAAATGCCTTTTTACAGCTGGTTTATTCAAGTCAAGATCCAAAAAAGATACGCACACATGTTTAACTAGCATATTTCTTAAATGTCTTTAAATCTATACCTAGATCAGTGCCATTTTTTCATGTCATTTAGCTGTTGAACGAACCAGGTACTGTGTCCTGCGGCATATCCTACCTTCTGGGTTTGACTGATTGAATCTTTGTGGATGTCCCTCTGCCTCTGTCTTTCCTGAACTCTGGTAGTTGAGATCAGGACTGGAGATTTCTTAGGCAGGAAGAATCCATAGGTGGGTACTTCCTATCGCACCTCGAAGGAGACACAAAGTGTCCAGCTGTCCCACTTTTACTGGTGTTAAACTTCATCCACCAGATAGTGCACCCATTATAAAATTCTGTCCACTAATGATTTGTGCTGAGATCCACTTCTCATTAGGGGCTGCCAAGTAGTGCTTTTCTATCATTCTTTCTGCACTTGTTAGCCGAAGGTTCTCTGTCGTGAAGATATTTCCCTTGTCAACTATTTGGCTTGGATGGAAAGGCTGGATCAATGTTTGATTCTTTATTTTTCATCTTCATAATAATGAGCTAGCTCCTCGGCACCCCGGGGGAAGTTGTCTTCAAATGCTGCCTTGAAGCATAGAATATTTAATTCTAATGGATATGGGAGGGAAGGGCCTTCCAAGCCGAGGGAAGAGCTTGAGCAAAGGCTCAGAGGCAGGAGAATGCAGGGTGTTTAGAGAACAGCAGAGCTCCGTAGCACGTGCAACAAGAGGCTTTTTGAGTGAGGACCCTGAGCACGATATGGTGGGAAAGCAGGGGAGAGGTCAGGATTGCTGGTTTGACTCCCAGCCATGGGCAAAAGGTTCTCCCCTTGTCTATACAATGAGGACATCTCTCTAGATCAGTGGCTTTCCAACGTTTCTGGCCCCAGTTCACTTTAATAAATACATTTTATACTCTGACCCAGTAAGTGCATCTGTGTGTATAAAAACCAACAGAAATTTCAAAAAGAACTCAGTTGACTTTTACATACAATGTATGTGGGTCTATTCTATTCTATTTCATTCAGTGTCATCCTGTTGAAATAAATGTTGGTTATGACCACTGAATTGAACTCAGTCTCACAGATTGTCGGCAACCTTAGTCTGGGTGGCTCCTGGGGCTCTATTTCCACTCCAGCCCTTTCTGGTTGATCCCTGGTCTTGGTGACAACCTGACGCAGCACCAGGCTCTGGAGAAGAGGGACAACATGAGAAGAGAAGCTGATCACTTGCAGGAGGCTCCTGAGCTGAACATGAGGCAAAAGCCAGGCCAAACTCAGAGGCTGTGGCCCCAGCCAGGCCACCCTCACCTTCAGAGTCTTGACCCCCCAGACCACACTACCGGACACCTGCTGGCCCTGTTTCCACAACAGACTGGCTCAGCCACACCCAGGCCCACAGGGCTCAGAGGCCTGCTCCCTGTTGATCGTGTCAACTTTGAAAGGCCTTCAAGTTTATCCCTAAACAAAGCCCTCCAGTTTAGCCCTAAAGAGCCAGGTGTTAACCTAACAGGAAGCAATTTGGAAGGTCAAAGTCAAGTAGACGGAGAAGAGTGTTGAGAGTCCTGGGGTGACAACACCTGGGTCCCCTGCTCACCTGAGCCACAGACTCGCCAGGTAACTGGGCCAGCGTCCCTCCTGCCCACGCCTTGCTTGCCGCACTCTTAAAGAAGATGCATCCCCTTCTCTTGGAGGGAATGACAATGACCAGATCACAACTGAGCTGAGCAATTTGGGGAAATTTGGGCAGGGGGTAGAGTTGGCAGAACTGGTTTGTAAACAGGGCTCTGGAAGACCTTCCTCTAACTGTGGGGAGTGGGGGAGGGGTTTCTCTCCCTCTTAGGCACTCTCTTCTCTGCTGTTTTCTCTATTTCTCTCTTCGCTGTCACTCCCATTACCGTCCTCATCTTATCTCCCCCTTTTCTCTCCTTCTCTCTCTCTCTGTTTAATAACAGCTTTATTGAGAGATAATTTACAGGATGTGAGATTTACCCTTTTGTACAATTCACCATGTGTACATTTCAGTGTTGTTCAGTGTATTCACAGGGTTGCAGAACCATCACTGCTGTCTTATTTTATTTTTTTGGCACTTTTTGGTAGAGACAGGGTTTTGCCACGTTGGCCAGGCTAGTCTCAAACTCCTGACCTCAAATGATCTGCCCGCCTCGGCCTCCCAAAGTGCTGGGATTACAGGTGTGAGCCACTGCGCCTGGCCACCTCTGTCTAATTTCAGAACATGTTTGTTATGCCCCAAATAAACTCTGACCCATCAGCAGTCACTGCCTGGTCCACACATCTCACCAGCCCCTGGCAACCACTAATATACTTTCTGTCTTGATGGATTTGTCTATTCTAAACATTTCATATAAATGGAATCATACAATACACGGCCTTTTGTGAGTGGCTTCTTTCACTTAGCATGTTTTCAAGTTTCATTGTTGTTGTGGCATGCATCTGTACTTCATTCCTTTTTATGGCTGAGTAATATCCCATTATATGGATATACCAGATTTAGTTTTAGCCATTCATCAGTTGAAGGGCATTTGAATTGTTTCTACTATTTGGCTATTATGAATAACACTGCTATGAATATTCATTGATAGGTTTTTGTGTGAACATGTGTTTTTAATTCTCCTAACTACAGGCTCAGAAGTAGGGTTTCTGGGTCATATGGCAACTCTATGTTTACATTCTGAGAAACTGTCAAATTGTTTTTCTTTTTTTTCTTTTTTTTTTTTATTCTTTTCTGCTGCCACCTCATCTCCCCAAATTGATTTTCAAAGTGGCTGCACCATTTTGCAATTCCACCAGCAGTGTATGAGGGTTCCAATTTCTCCACACCCTCAGCAACACTTCAACACTTGCTTTTTTTTTTTTTTTTTTTGAGATGGGGTCTCGCTCTGTCGCCAGGCTGGAGTGCAGTGGCGTGATCTCAGCTCACTGCGACCTCTGCCTCCTGGGTTCAAGAGATTCTCGTGCCTCAGCCTCCTGAGTAGCTGGGACTACAGGTGCATGCCACCACACCCAGCTAATTTTTGTATTTTTAGTAGAGACGGGTTTCACTATGCTGGCCAGGATGGTCTCAAACTCCTGAACTCGTCATCCACCCATCTCAGTGTTCCCAAGTGCCGTGATTACAGGTGTGAGCCACCCCACCCAGCCAACACTTGCTGTTTTATTTTTTATCTTAGCCGTCCTACTGGATGTGGGGTGGTATCTCATTGTGGTTTGGATTTGCATTTCCTTATGATTAATGATGTTGAGTATCTTTCATGCTCACTGGCCACTTGTGTATCTTCTTTGGAGAAATGTCTATTTAAATCCTTTGTCCAGTTTTAAATTTGATTGACTTATTTTTATTTATTTATTTATTTTGGAGGCAGAGTCTTGCTCTGTTGCCCAGGCTGGAGTGCAGTTGTGCAATCTTGGCTCACTGCAACCTCCACCTCCTGGGTTCAAGCAATTCTCCTGCCTCAGCCTCCTGAGTAGCTGGGACTATAGGTGCATGCTACCAAGCCCAGCTAATTTTTGTGTTTTTAGTAGAGACGGGTTTCACCATGTTGGCCAGGCTGGTGTTGAACTCCTGGCCTCAAGTGATCTGCCTGCCTTGGTCTCCCAAAGTGCTGGGATTACAGGCATGAGCCACCGCACCCAGCCAGTTTCAGCTCTTACATTTAGGTCTATGGTCCATTTTGAGTTAATATTTGTATATGGTTTGAGGTAGGAGTCCAAATGCATTCTTTTGCATGTGCTTATCCAGTTGTCTAAGCACCATTTGTTAAATCTATCTTTTCTTTTCCTTTTTTTTTTTTTTTTTTTTTTTTTGAGACAGGGTCTTGCTCTGTCACCCAGGCTGAAGTGCGCTGGTGTGATCATGGCTCACTTCAGCTTCCTGCGTCTGGGCTCAAGTGATCTCCTGTCTCAGCCTCCTGGGTAGCTGGGACTACAGGCGTGCACCACCATACCTGGCTAATTTTAATCTTTTTTTTTTTTTTTAATGTTCCTTTTTCTCCAGGCAGCTGCTCCCAACCCCAGAACCTTTGCTGTCTTGGGACGGATCACCGCTGCAAGAGGGGAAGTTGCTACTGTGATGAATTCTGCCATGTGGCACCAGACTGCCACCCAGACCACAGTGTCCTCTGCAACCCTGGTAACTCACATACAGGCCCGATTCCACCTACAGCAAAGCTGGATGCGATGGCTGGCAGAGGCAAACCCTTTGCCTGCACTTCAGGCCAAAGCCGGGATGTGGCCTAGATGGTTCCTAAGGTCCCTGACAATCCTGAGATCTTGCATCTTGTCTATTTCAGGTCAAAGGTGCCTACATGCTCCTTCTAGCTTTGTTTCCCTGATGTTCCTTGCCACCTGCTACTCCTCTCTGAGCTACTTTTCCAGGTTCCACAGGGAGAGGTTCAGCTGTCCGTGGTAGACATGAGGGTAGAGAATGAGGTGGTTGGGTTCCACTTACCTTTCTATCATCTTGCAGTATGGATGTCTCTTGACTGGTACCGTGTAGACTTTTGAGGGCACACAGGAGTCTGCAGAGAGATACTGGGGACATTGAGCAGCAGCAGTGGGGTTGGGAGGCAGAAATGAGGACAGGAACATTTACCTTGTGTTTCTCTCAGCTTCTCAGATGACCAAGATGGTGCTGCAGATGGTGCTGAGGATGGAGAACCCACCAAGCCCCGCTAGGAGCCACCTAGACTGGATGCAGAGCATGGTGAGCTCCCTGCAGGTTCTCTGAGAAGGGGTGGATGGCAGCCTGCTCCTTGCCTTTGTGCCCTCCAGGCCCCAAAGTCAGGGAACCAAAAGAAGAAAGGGGCCGTAGCTAGGGCAGAGCTCCACTGCAATGATTGTTTTAGGGGTAGGAGCCAGGATTGCCGTCTGTGGACACTGAAATTTGAATCTCATATACTTTTGTGACAAAACATTCTTCCTCTTTTGTTCTTCTCCTACCATCTAAAAATGTAGAAAACATTCTTAGCCTATGAGTTGCACAAAAACAGGCAGTGGCCAGATTTGGCCCATAGACCATAGTTTGCTGACTTCTGCCCTAAATCATCCTCCATTTCTTTCCTTCTGTGTCCTTGTTACTGACAAAGCCACTTTCCCTAAAATGGGGTCTTTCCCTGTTTGGTGCCATGAAGCCAATATGCAAAACCGAAAGTGAGCCTCAAGCAGTGCAGGCTTTATTTGGTGGCCATGGAATTGAGAAGTGAGAGCTTGGCTCACAAATCAACTTTTCTGCTCGTGAGACCCAGGAAGTCACAGATACAGGGCATCTTTAGTGAAGGGGCTGAGCATTAAAAGCAAGGGGAGGAGTGGCCAGGTGCAATGGCTCACTCCCATAAACCCAGAACTTTGGGAGGCCAAAATGAGAGGATTGCTGAGACCAGGAGTTCGAGACCATCCTGGTCAACATAGTGATACACCCCCATCTCTACAAAAATAAAAATGAAAAAAGCAAGGGGAGGAATCATGTGTTTTCTGGGTCTGGGTGGAGAAATTTTCAAAACCAGAGTGCCACCTTCCTATTTGTTTTTTTATGTTATTTTTTCCCATCATTGTCATGTTGGTTGTTGACTGTTACGGTGTTAGTGGGACTGTCATTTAACATGGAAATTAGATTATAATGAAGTTAGAGGTCAAATGAGCTGCCATCTTGGATTCCATCAGTCTTAGCTGGTTTGATCACCAGGGAGAAGTTTGGACCTCAGGCATCCTGCTTCCTAAAGATAAACAGTGTTAAGGCAGGGTAGATATTCACGGAGGTCATGTGGGTATTGCACTGGATGACATCTTGGCTTCAGCCCTGATCTGTTCAGAGCCCTCAGCACGGTACTGGAGGAGAGGCCTTGGGCCGCATCGTGGCATATTGTGGCTTTGGGGAGAAAGAAAAGCAGATAGTGCAATGGAAAGAGCGTGGACTTGAGAGTCAGACTTGACTTCAACTCCTAGCTCTACCACTTACCACCTAGGTGACCTCAAGCCACTTTCTCAGCCTTTCTGAGACTCTGTATCCTCATGTGTATCCTAGAGTTTGTCTGATAGGGCTATAGTGAGAATTAATTGAATTAAGTATAGTGAGAATTAAGCCAGGTCTGGAGAGGCCTGGCTACTGGTGAGTGAGGTAACTGAGATCAGGTATGGAGAGGACTGGCTCCTGGTGAGTGAGTTAATTGAGATGAGGTATGGAGGGACCTGTCTCCTGGTGACTGAGTTAATTGAGATGAGGTGTGGAGGGACCTGGCTCCTGGTGAGTGAGTTAATTGAGATCCATTAGGGAGGGACCTGGCTCCTGGCGAGTGAGTTAATTGACACCCGGTATGGAGGGACCTGGCTCCTGGCGAGTGATTTAATTGAGACCCGGTGTGGAGGGACTTGGCTCCTGGTGAGTGAGTGAATTGAGATGAGGTATGGAGGGACCTGTCTCCTGGTGAGTGAGTTAATTGAGATGAGGTGTGGAGGGACCTGTCTCCTGGTGAGTGAGTTAATTGAGATGAGGTGTGGAGGGACCCGGCTCCTGGTGAGTGAGTTAATTGAGACTCGGTGTGGAGGGACTTGGCTCCTGGTGAGTGAGTGAATTGAGATGAGGTATGGAGGGACCTGGCTCCTGGTGAGTGAGTGAATTGAGATGAGGTGTGGAGGGACCTGTCTCCTGGTGAGTGAGTTAATTGAGATGAGGTATGGAGGGACCTGTCTCCTGGTGAGTGAGTTAATTGAGATCAGGTATGGAGGGACTTGGCTCCTGGTGAGTGAGTTAATTGAGACTCTGTGTGGAGGGACCTGGCTCCTGGTGAGTGAGTTAATTGAGATGAGGTATGGAGGGACCTGGCTCCTGGTGAGTGAGTTAATTGAGATCAGGTATGGAGGGACCTGGCTCCTGGTGAGTGAGTTAATTGAGATGAGGTGTGGAGGGACCTGGCTCCTGGTGAGTGAGTTAATTGAGATGAGGTATGGAGGGACCTGGCTCCTGGTGAGTGAGTTAATTGAGATCAGGTATGGAGGGACCTGGCTCCTGGTGAGTGAGTTAATTGAGATGAGGTATGGAGGGACCTGGCTCCTGGTGAGTGAGTGAATTGAGATCAGGTATGGAGGGACTTGGCTCCTGGTGAGTGAGTTAATTGAGACTCTGTGTGGAGGGACCTGGCTCCTGGTGAGTGAGTTAATTGAGATGAGGTATGGAGGGACCTGGCTGCTGGTGAGTGAGGTATGGAGGGACCTGGCTCCTGGTGAGTGAGTTAATTGAGGTCAGGTATGGAGGGACCTGGCTCCTGGTGAGTGAGTTAATTGAGATCAGTTATGGAGGGACCTGGCTCCTGGTGAGTGAGTTAATTGAGATGAGGTATGGAGGGACCTGGCTCCTGGTGAGTCTCCTGGAGGCAGCTGCTATCTGGGAACACAGGCACAGGTGGGAACAGACCTTCACTTCCTGCTCACTTAGGTTCAGTGAGTTCTCCAAACCAGCCTCCCAGGAATGCCATTCAACATGGCTGTGAGGAGAATAAAGAAGAGAGCCTGACTCCTCTCCTGAGGCCCCTTCCCCACCCTGAGCCAGCAGGATCCACGGAGCAGAGGTCATCTGTCCCCAGCTTGGCCCACTGAGGCCAGCATGGCTGGGCCCAGGATGCTTGTCTCTCAGCTCCCATCCTGTGTACTTCCACATTGGTTTAACCAGAGGAAAACCGAAATCTACAATTGTCATAAACACATTTAAATGTGCGTAGAATCAGCCATACAAATTGTGAAACATACATTTGGCTCATGGTATTATTCACTGTTTTGTGGTGGTTACAGTGACTATAGCAAACATTTCTTGAAAGTAGAAAATAAGAACCCAGCACCCCTTGAGCTAAGTAATGTGCCCTCTGTCCTCAATATTCCTTCCTGGGCTCCACATTACTGCCCTTAAGTCTGGAAATATTCTGGTCTGAGCCCCGTAGTCCAGGCCTCATGTTCAGGCTTTCTGTCCCCAGTGATGAGAGGAGAGACGGCAGACCTGTCTCCGGTGAGCTCAGATGGGCCTCCCGGAGTCTCCTGGGGTGCACAGGATTTCAAAGATCCAGGAGGCGCTGCCAGGGGCTGTGAGGTCTGATGAACCTCTCACCTTCCCTCCCACACCTGCCCTTTTCCTGTTTCTGTGGATGCTTTTGCTGTCCTTGGCTTCCTGGACTCCAGACCTCAGGGTCATCTTTTGCTTCTCTCTGCAAGGTGCCAAGTCTCTCTAGGTTTTTGTTTGTTTGTTTTGTTATTGAGACGGAGTCTCACTCTATTGCCCAGGCTGGAGTGCAGTGGTGCGATCTCAGCTCACTGCAACTTCCGACTCCCTGGTTCAAGCAAATTCTCCTGCCTCAGCCTCTGGAGTAGCTGGGATTACAGGCGCCCGCCACCACGCCTGGCTATTTTTTTTTTTTTCTAGTAGAGATAGGGTTTCACCATGTTGGCCAGGCTGGTCTCGATCTCCTGACCTCATGATCCACCCGCCTTGGCCTCCCAAAGTGCTGGGATTACAGGAGTGAGCCACTGTGCCCGGCCGTCTCTCTAGTTTTACTTTGCAATGTCGTTCATATCCATCCCCTTTCTAGTGCCACTGCTGAAGTCCTAAGTCACTGCCTCCTAACTGGTCCTCCTGCCCTAACTCCTCCCTGACCAGTCCTCCAGCCCTAAGTCTCCTCCCTGACCTGTCCTCCTGCCCTAACTCCTCCCTGACCGGTCCTCCTGCCCTAACTCCTCCCTGACCGGTCCTCCTGCCCTAACTCCTCCCTGACCGATCCTCCTGCCCTAACTCCTCCCTGACCTGTCCTACTGCCCTAACTCCTCCCTGACCGGTCCTCCTGCCCTAACTCCTCCCTGACCAGTCCTCCTGCCCTAAGTCTCCTCCCTGACCGGTCCTCCTGCCCTAAGTCTCCTCCCTGACCTGTCCTCCTGCCCTAACTCCTCCCTGACCAGTCCTCCTGCCCTAACTCCTCCCTGACCGGTCCTCCAGCCCTAACTCCTCCCTGACCAGTCCTCCTGCCCTAAGTCTCCTCCCTGACCGGTCCTCCTGCCCTAACTCCTCCCTGACCGGTCCTCCTGCCCTAACTCCTCCCTGACCGGTCCTCCAGCCCTAACTCCTCCCTGACCGGTCCTCCTGCCCTAACTCCTCCCTGACCGGTCCTCCAGCCCTAACTCCTCCCTGACCAGTCCTCCTCCCCTAACTCCTCCCTGACCCGTCCTCCTGCCCTAACTCCTCCCTGACCTGTCCTCCAGCCCTAACTCCTCCCTGACCAGTCCTCCAGCCCTAACTCCTCCCTGACCGGTCCTACTGCCCTAACTCCTCCCTGACCGGTCCTCCTGCCCTAACTCCTCCCTGACCAGTCCTCCTGCCCTAAGTCTCCTCCCTGACCGGTCCTCCTGCCCTAAGTCTCCTCCCTGACCTGTCCTCCTGCCCTAACTCCTCCCTGACCAGTCCTCCTGCCCTAACTCCTCCCTGACCGGTCCTCCTGCCCTAACTCCTCCCTGACGAATCCCCCTGCCCTAAGTCTCCTCCCTGACCGGTCCTCCTGCCCTAACTCCTCCCTGACCGGTCCTCCTGCCCTAACTCCTCCCTGACCAGTCCTCCTGCCCTAAGTCTCCTCCCTGACCGGTCCTCCTGCCCTAACTCCTCCCTGACCGGTCCTCCTGCCCTAACTCCTCCCTGACCAATCCCCCTGCCCTAACTCCTCCCTGACCAATCCCCCTGCCCTAACTCCTCCCTGACCGGTCCTCCTCCCCTAACTCCTCCCTGACCTGTCCTCCTGCCCTAACTCCTCCCTGACCGGTCCTCCAGCCCTAACTCCTCCCTGACCCGTCCTCCAGCCCTAACTCCTCCCTGACCTGTCCTCCTGCCCTAAGTCTCCTCCCTGACCAGTCCTCCTGCCCTAAGTCTCCTCCCTGACCGGTCCTCCTGCCCTAAGTCTCCTCCCTGACCGGTCCTCCTGCCCTAAGTCTCCTCCCTGACCAGTCCTCCTGCCCTAACTCCTCCCTGACCGGTCCTCCAGCCCTAACTCCTCCCTGACCGGTCCTCCTGCCCTAAGTCTCCTCCCTGACCCGTCCTCCAGCCCTAACTCCTCCCTGACCGGTCCTCCTGCCCTAAGTCTCCTCCCTGACCGGTCCTCCTGCCCTAAGTCTCCTCCCTGACCGGTCCTCCTGCCCTAAGTCTCCTCCCTGACCAGTACTCCTGCCCTAAGTCTCCTCCCTGACCGGTCCTCCTGCCCTAAGTCTCCTCCCTGACTGGTCCTCCTGCCCTAAGTCTCCTCCCTGACTGGTCCTCCTGCCCTAACTCCTCCCTGACTGGCCTCCATCCAAGCAGAGCTTGAGTATTGCTGGTTCCCTGCTCAAACCCACCACTGGTTGCTGGTTCCCTGCTCAAACCCACCACTGGCACTGGCTTCCCATCACATACAGAATAAAGGCTAAATGTCTGTGCTTGGCACAGAAAGTCATCAACAGGCCCCAGAGCACGTTTCTGGTGTTATCTTCTGCTAATGCCCTGCCCTCACTCCTATGCTGCAGCTGAATGGAACGAGCCATTATCCCCTCAGGAACGCTGGCTTCTCAGTAAACGATTATAGCCCAGAAGCTCTGTCATCACAGAACCTAGCTATTGGCTAATGGGTCAGCTTTGGCTTCATTTCTCTGAATAATTTATTTCAAAACATAATCCCAAGGAACAAGGTTAGGAAAAGGGGAGGGTGACAGGGACAGAGGGAGAGCCTATGCAAAGACGTGTTATCCAGTTGGCCCCTGCTGTGGCTGGCTGGTTGCTCAATCCTGTAAGATCTTCTAAGAAGCTTTATGAGATGTAGTGAGAACCACCTGTCCTGGGGATGAGTCTGTCTGTCGGCTTCCATTCCTCATGGGTTATGAGTTGCTCCACAGGATTCTGGATGTATACAGATGCTCTTCATCTTAGGAAGGGGTTACGTCCCAATAAACACGTGGTAAGTCAAAAATACTGTAAGTCAGAAACACATTTAATACCCTGATAAGCCCATCATAAAGTCAAACAATTTTAAATCCAATCATTGTAAGCCAGGACCATCTGTATACCCAAGACATACACAAGGATGTTCATAGCAGCTTTATTCAAAATAGTGAAAAACAAAACAATCCAAATGCACAGCAATAGGAAAACAGACAAATAAATTGTGGTATATTTATACAGTGGAATACTATGCAACAACAAAAAAGGATGAAGCATAATACTACACACAGCGTGAGTGAGTCTCACAGACACAGTGTTAACAGAGAGAATCCAGACACAAAAGAGCCTATCTATGCATGATTCCATTTATATGAAGTTCAAAGACATGCAGAGCTAATCTATGGTGATAGAGATAAGAATGGTGGTTACACTGAAATGGGAGGATCGCTCAAACCCGGGAGGCGGAGGCTGCAGTGAACCATGATGGAGCTGCACTCCAGCTTTGGAGACAGAGCGAGACCCTGTCTCTAAAAAAAAAAAAAAAATGATTGTTCCATTCTGTGGTGGCAAGTGGGGGCTTGACTGGAAGGGAACACAAGGGCACCTGTTGAGGTGCTGAGCACGTTCTGTATCTTGACCTGAGTGTCGGATACATCCTGGGGATACATACGTACATAAAAATTCATCAGGGTATACGCTACTTAAGCTGGGCGTAGTTTACAGTATGTAGGTTACAACATAAAAAAGAAGTGAATGAACCAAAGAATACTGGGCTCCCTGGCGTTTCCTCTTCTGCAACCCAAGGAAATAAGCCTCGGTGTGGAGAGGGCCTGTCCTCAGGGCCTGGCAGATGTAGGCGATTCTTACCACGTCTCCTTCGGTAAGCCCACCTGGCAAGTTCTCATCCACATAATCTGTGCATGCTCAACATTTGAAACCAGTGGGGACCCATTCGGACCCCAAGAGTTGGTATTAGAGATCATTTTAAAGTGAAAACTGGCCAGGCACGATGGCTTACACCTGTAATCCCAGCACTTTGGGAGGCTGAGGTGGGCGGATCACATGAGGTCAGGAGTTCGAGACCAACTTGGCCAACATGGTGAAACCCTGTTGACTCAGGATGACTCAGATTAGAGCAGGTGACTGGGGGTGACTCAGGATGGAGCAGGTGATAGAGGCTAGGAGGGGGTTGTTTACTGAAACTAGGGGCAAGGAGATGAAGAAAACGAGGAAGTTAAACTTTAAAATGAAGAGCTGAACATACTGATACATTGATTCTTTGGAGAGGATCTCAGAACTCATTGTACTTAACAATTTACAGGCTAAAACCTTTGAAGAAGAATTTATTATATCCTACAAACCTGGGAGGCAGAGGTTGCAGTGAGCCAAGATTGGGCCATCGCACTCCAGCCTGGGCAATAAGAATGAAACTCTGTCTCAAAAAAAACAAAAGTTGGCCAGGGCTGGGCGTGGTGGCTCACACCTGTAATCCCAGCACTTTGGGAGGCTAAAGCAGGTGGATCACCTGAGGTCAGAAGTACGAGACCATCGTGGCTAATATGGTGAAACCCCATCTCTACTCAAAATACGAAAAAAGAAAAAAAAAATTAGCCAAGCACGGTGGTGCACGCCTGTTATCCCAGCTGCTTAGGAAGCTGAGGCAGGAGAATTGCCTGATCCCAGAGGCAGAGGTTGCAGTGAACTGGGATTGTGCCACTGCACTCCAGCCTAGGCGACAGAGCAAGATTCTGTCTCAAAAATAAATACATAAATAAAGTTTTAGAGCAGGAATGAAAGGAAGTAAAGTACACTTGGAAGAGCTGTGTTGGCAACTGGAGAGATCCGAGTGCCTCATCTGACCCTTGACTTGGGATTAATACATTGGCATGAGATGTGAGCAGTGACTCAAAGTTGCTCAGAAAAAAATCTTCCCCCGCTATTTAGTACTGCAGCTGGCACCTGCCCTCCCCACGCACTGCAGCTGGCACCTGCCCTCCCCACACCAGTATTTGGTACTGCAGCTGGCACCTGCCCTCCCCTCTGCTATTTAGTACTGCAGCTGGCACCTGCCCTCCACACAGCAGTATTTAGTACTGCAGCTGGCACCTGCCCTCCCCACACCAGTATTTAGTACTGCAGCTGGCACCTGCCCTCCCCACACCAGTATTTAGTACTGCAGCTGGCACCTGCCCTCCCCACGTCAGTGTTCAGGATTCTTTCTCTCTGTTTTTCTTTTTTTTCCATAGTTTTCACCTTTCTATAATTCACTTATTTGTTATGTTTATTGTTTTGTGAAAGGAAAATAAATCTTGGGCCCCCAAAATCACTAAGCTAAAGGGGAAAGTCAAGCCGGGAATGGCTTAGGGCCGACCTGCCCCCCATTCTATTCAAAATCACCCCCTGCTCACTGAGATAGATGCATATCTGATTGCCTTCTTTGGAAAGGCCCATCAGAAACTCAAAAGAATGCGACCTTTGTCTCTCACCCACCTGTGACCTGGAAGCTTTCTCCTGGCTGCGAGTTGTCCCACATTTGCTTGGCGTTGCCCGGCCTTTTCCAGACTGAACCAATGTTCATCTTACATGTGTTGATTGATGTCTCATGTCTCCCTAAAACGTATGACCACCTTGGCACATGTCGTCAGGACATCCTGAGGCTGTGTCACGGGTGTGCATCTTCAACCTTGGAACAATAAACTTTCTAAATTAACTGAGACCTGTCTCAGATTTGGGGGGTTCACATTTTGGTAACCATGGAGGGATTCTGAGTTGAGGTACCCCTGACCTTTGACAGATCTATTGGTGCTTGGTAGCACCATGAGCTAACCTTATGGCTCAAACCAACAGGACAATTTGCTGAGGTCTGGGAGCACCCCCTCCATAGAGTCCCTGATCTCTCAAAACTTGGTCGTGATCTAAAGTTTATTTGATGTACAACTCCCCCTCTCCTTCTTTTGGAGTTTTATTTGCTTCCAAGAAGGAAGGCAAGATTTCCTGGGTCCGTGATGATGGAAGGCTGACAACTCTTTTATGGAGTTTGAGCTTGCTCCCAGCAGGGAAGACAAGTTCGAGTTTTTTTCCTGCTTCAAGGATGGTAGAGAGCAGTCTTCAGCCTGAGACCCATCCCTAGGTAAGTAGCTGAACTGAGGTTTTGTCTTGGCTGAAGGTTAACAACCAGCTGGTCTGAATTTCTTCTTCCCATTAGAGCAGTCTGTGGTCATATCATTTGACTTTTGTTGTTGTTGTTTTTTCTGGTCTTTCTCTCATCAGATTTGACCAACTCTACCTGACTTGGTCAAATCCAAGTGAGAATTCCAAATTATGGGTAACAAAGCCTCTCTAATTTGGCTAAAATTCCTTGCAGCTGCAAAAGAGGAAAAAACTAAACGAAAACAACAAATCACGTGCTTGGTTTCTGTGTTTGCTTTCTGTCTTAAAAAACAAACAAACAAAAACAACAAATGCTCTTTCACTTACTTTTCTTCCTCCCTATACCTCCTCCTGCCTTTGCCATCTGCGGGACCAAAAAAATCTAGAGAAGGCTTCCAATGACTCGAGCCCCTTTAAAGGATCCGGAACAAAGGGGCCACTCACCCCTTCCAGGGTGCTCTGTTTTCTTTGTGGAGTTTCAAGAGTGATGGGCGGATTCTTCTTAGGTCTAAAGCTCTGCTGTCTTCCTGTACGGCATGACCTGACCTCTTTGGCTTTGGGGGAACCAGAGATGACCCTGCACTGTGAGAGGATTTGACCTTGGCGTGTGTAATGGCAGACGAGAACTACAAAGAAGGGGTGGCTGAGCACAGTTTACAGGGAATGGTCTTGGCTGTTTTTTTGTTTTTTTTTTTTTCTCTTCTAGGAAGCTGTGATTTAAGGATCCTAATTCTAGTTCAGAGATGCATCCTAAAGGGTCTTCTCTATTGCTTTTTCTCCCAAAATGAATCTCAGTTTGGGTTGTCTATGTATTTGCATGAGGAACTGAACTGTTGTTGTCATAGGTAAATGAGAGATTGAGTTTTCTCAGCTCCAAAGAGAAAGGGCGTTTGCTCCTCCCAGCCGAGTACTCCATAGGGTTCATGGCGCCTCTACTTGCCAGAGTTTATGTAAAGTGGAAGTAATATGGTCTTTCTGCACATTTACATTAAAAAAAAAGGAGCCCTGAGGTTGACCTGCAAACTGTAGAGTTCCTGAGTCCTCTTTTTTCTCTAGTTTCTTCTCTGCCTGCTTTAAATTTGCTGTTATTTTTCTATTAAGATAAAAAACACTGTTTGGATCAGATAGTTTTTCTGTTTGTAAACTGGTGAATTTGTATTTATTTCATGGCTAAATTTCTTTTTTTCTTTTCTTTCTCTTTTTTTTTTTTCTTTTTTTTTTTTTGAGGCAGAGTTTCACTCTTGTTGCCCAGGCTGGAGTGCAATGGCGTGATCTTGGGTCACCACAGTCTCCTCTTCCCTGGTTCAAGTGATTCTCTTGCCTCAGCCTCCCGAGTAGCTGGGATTACAGGCATGCACCACCATGCCTGGCTAATTTTTTGTATTTTTAGTAGAGATGGGGTTTCTCCATGTTCGTCAGGCTGGTCTCCAACTCCTGACCTCAGGTGATCTGCCCGCCTCGGCCTCCCAAGGTGCTGGGATTACAGGCGTGAGTCACCGCGCCCAGCTTTCATGGCTAAATTTCTGAAGTAAAAGCTATAGGATCTTTGTGTGTGTGTATATATTTAAAAGGCCTTTATAATTTCTATAATTTTATGTTTAATTGGCAATTAAATCTGTTTTAATTTCCCTCCAGCACACCAGACTTTTTCTCTCCATACGTTATGATGTAAATTTTGCTATTCGATTTTCACCTCAGTTTCCTTAAAATGCAAATTCAAGGCTATTTAGCTGACAACCGCTTAGAGTAGTAAAACAGGTTATCAAGAATTCGAAGGTGTGGCTGGGCACGGTGGCTCACGTCTGTAATCCTAGCATTTGGGAGGCTGAGCCGCAAAGATCTCTTGAGGTCAGGAGTTCAAAACCATCTTGGCCAACATGTTGAAACCCCGTCTCTACTAAAAATACAAAAAAAATTAGCCAGATGTGGTGGCAGGTGCCTATAATCCCAGCTACTCAGGAAGCTGAGGCAGGAGAATCACTTGAAGCCAGGAGGCAGAGTTTGCAGTGAGTCGAGATCAAGCCATTGCACTCCAGCCTGGGCAACAGAGTGAGACTCTGTCTCAAAAAAAAAAAAAAAAAAAGTAAAAAAGAATTTGAAGGTGTAAGAAAAAAGCTCTTTATGAATCTATAAGATGAACTTCTTTCAGCATACCTAATACATCTGTGTATTTATGTGTTGTTGTGTACACAGTGTTTTGCTACTGAAAATATATAAAAGAGCTCTAATTAATTGGCTTAAGAAAATAAAAGCACTTGGCTGGGTGCAGTGGCTCATGCCTGTACTCCCAGCACTTTGGGAGGCTGAGGTAGGTAGATCACCTGAGGTCAGGAGTTTGAGACTAGCCTGGCCAACATGGTGAAACCCCATCTCTACTAAAAATACAAAAATTAGCCCGACGTGGTGGTGCGCGCCTATAATCCCAGCTACTCCAGAGGCTGAGGCAGGAGAATTGTTGGATCCCGGGAGGAAGAGGTTTCATTGAGCTGAGATCTCATTACTGTACACTCCAGCCTGGGTGACAGAGCAAGACTCCATCTCAAAAAAAAAAAAAGAAGCTAGTGATTCCATATCTTCAAATCAAATTTCAGTGGAGTGTTTACCGGGCAAGGAAGGCAGGGGGGTCAGCTTGCTGACAGCCTCAACCTGCCAGCCCTCAGCCTGCACATTTGTGATCACCTGGTCACACACCTGGGCAGGAGGCTGCCCCTCCTCCCTGGTTTGAGGAAGCAGGAAAAGGTACCCGCGAGAGACAGCCAGCAGTTCTGTGGAGCAGCGGTGGCCGGCTAGGATGGGCTGTCTCTGGGGTCTGGCTCTGCCCCTTTTCTTCTTCTGCTGGGAGGTTGGGGTCTCTGGGAGCTCTGCAGGTAAGGAGGCCTAGAAGGGCCTGGTGGGCCTCTCCCCTAGTAGGGCTCTGGGAGTGAATTTCAGTATGAGCCACCCTTCATGGGCAAGGGCAGGCTCTCTCGGGTTGATTATAATGAACCACAGTGCTACTTGTGAAGTGCTATTATTGTTGATAAAGAGTGTGCAAATGACAGTGTGAGTGTAAGCGTGCATGGCGCTGCAGTACACACTAATCAACCATGACGATGTGTGTGAGTGTAAGCGTGCCTGGCGCTGCAGTACACGCTAATCAACCATGACGCTGCCATCGTAAGGGATGGCTGAGAGTTTGTCTTTATGAACGTGGGACAGTAAGTGGGGCACGGAGCGGGGGTGCAGGGAGGTGCCAGCTGGTGATCATTGTGCAGAAAGCTGAAGAATGTGGCTTAACAAGATTCTGACTCCTCCCAGTTTATTACCTAGCATGGATTTCCTTCAAAATACAGATTTCGTGTGAAAAGTCCAACTGCCACAAACTGCTTGGGAAGGGTGGATGCTGACAGGCAGGGCTTTTGTGAAAGACGGGAATGAACCCTGACCTGTCGCTAATAGGAGTTGTGCCAAACTCATCACATACATTAAAAAATAGAAAAGGATTTATTTTTTTTTTAGTTCTATGCTCCCTCTAAACCTCGAGTGGAGAGGCCGGGCGTGGTGGCTCACACCTGTAATCCCAGCATTTTGGGAGGCTGAGGTGGGTGGATCACCTGAGGTCAGGAGTTCGAGACCAGCCTGACCAACATGGAGAAACCCCGTCTCTACTAAAAATACAAAATTAGCCGGGGGTGGTAGCAGGTGCCTGTAATCCCAGCTACTCGGGAGGCTGAGGCAGGAGAATTGCTTGAACCTGGGAGGTGGAGTTTGCAGTGAGCTGAGATCGCACCCTTGCGCTCTGGCCTGGGCAACAAAAGTGAAACTATGTTTCAAAAAAAAAAAAGCTGCAGTGGAGAGTCTGGAGTTCCCATCCCCACCACTCACAGCCTCCCCCATCATCAGCGTCCCCCACCAGAGTGGCACATTTGATAGGACTGAGGAACCTACTTTGATGCATCATTATCATACATTGTATTTTTAATCCTCACAACGGCCCTGCAAGATCGGCCCTGTTTTTACCACCCCCCACCTCCACTGCTTTAAGGGTGAGGCCACTGTGCTTCTGGGCATCCAGTAACAACTCCTCGGAGCCAGAATCTGACTCCTCACAGGCCTGAGCACTGCACCCCGTGGCCTCCTGCCTGTGCTCACCGTGGCCTGGTCTGCGCTGCACGTGTCCCGTTAGCTCCACCTTACAGGTGCGGAAATGCAGGCTTGGAGCTGAGAGACTTGGCCAGGGTCACAGGGCAGAGAGCAGATTCTCCAACTCAGGGTCCCAAGTCCACACGCTTTCCTCTCCACCAGATTTGAAGATTGTACCAGGAGAGCCGCAGTGTTCCAGAGCTACTGAGGGGCTGGGCTGGGATTTGCTGTATTCGAGAAGACCCCCTTGGACCCGAGAGGCTGTGGGCTTGGGGAGCATGAGGAGGTTTCACAGCAGAAAGGACACCCCGGGGCTCCTGGATAAGCCAGAAAATGTGCCAGGGGAAGTCGGGCTCCAAGGGCACCACTCTGGGCTTCCAGCTGTGTGGGCTGGACCAAGAAGGCTCAAAGAAATGATCTCAGGCTTGAAGTGGGGAGAAGAAACTGTATTATGAAGGCAGACGAACAGTTCCTGCAAAAGTGAGATTTGTGTGTGCAGCTGGGCCGCACTGGACCAGGGATGAGAGTGGGTGCCCGGGACTCGCCTATACTGCCTGGGGGTGCAGCCCGCACTCCTCACTATAGTCAGATCAACTATGCGTGCTTTCCAGTGGCCTGGGAGAGGACTCCATAGGGAGGGATGCTTACCTTGTGGGCTTTGGAATATAAGCCCTTTCACCTTCTCCGCTGGTCCTCATCACGTTGGCAAGGCAGGTATTGTGACCCTGTTTTCTCAGGTGAGGACATGGAGGCTGGGAGGGGTCTAGAGACTGGCCTGGCTAGTAGGAGGCTGAGTCAGGATTTGAACCAGCAGATCATCTGACCCCGGAGCCAGTCGTGGGCGGCACAGCGGGAGCTGCAACCGAGGCTCTTGACTCCTGCGTCGTCATTCCCTGAGGTCCACAGGACAACCAGTTGGGGACCTGGGGCCCCATCCTGATGCCCTGGGGAGAGGTGCTAGGCCCCTTTTGGGTCTATGGGCTACTTTTGGGCCAGTGGAGCTGGGTAAAGACCATCTCAAACCCTGTGCCAGGGGAGGTCAGACTCCAAGAGCGCCACCTTTGGGCTTCCAGCTGTGTAGGCTGGACCAAGAAGGCTCAGAGAATTAGGGGGTTCGTATTTGATCCTTTTCCTTCCAAGACTGGGATTACCAGATAAAACACAGGGCATCCAGTTACATTTGAATTTCAGGTAACAATTTTTTTTAAGTGTAAGTATGTAGCCAATATTGCATGAGAAATACTCATGCTAAAAAGTTATTCGTCGTTTATCTGAAATGCAAGTTCAAATTTAACCGAGTACCCTGTATTTTTATTTGCTAAATCTAGAAACCCTCTCCAAGAGGCTCCTTGGCCCACTCACAGGGAGAGCCCGATCTCCCTCTAGACAGGGGAGGCCCCCTTTCTCAGGCCAGAAAAGATCTTGTAGTAAACTACTCAAGAGGCTGAGGCAGGAGGATCGCTTGAGCCCAGGAATTCAAGACCTGCCTGGGCAACAGAGCAAGACCCTGTCTCTAGGGAAGATATCCTACCGTAGCCTCCCTCGGGGACTCCCATTCCTCCCACCTCAGGGCCAGTCAAGGGAACAGGCCTCTGCTCTGGGCAGAAGTGCTGGCAGCCGCTCTCTGAAAAGCTAGGTGTTGCCTCAGGGTCTCCCGGTGTCCTGTGGAAAATGCCTGGCCACGGTTTCCATGGTTCCCAGGCTCCAACCCTGCAGTTCTCAGCCCTCATTCAGGAGGGGCCTCGGCAGGGTGGGGGGTGCCGTCTTTCCCTTGCTGGAGCCCCAAGGACTCTGCCGGCTCCCTCGCTTTGGCAGCAGCACTGCCCACCCTGTCTCTGGAGGTTCCCCCGCCTCAATCCACCCAGCTACCCCGAAAGGCACAATCATAGGCCTTTCTCGTCTTTTAAGGGTTTTTACTTCCATGGGGAACTATGTGTTGGATGAGAAAAGTATCCGGGGAAGGGGACAGAGGTTCAGAAAGCTCTGCGAGTCCTGGACGCTGGTCTGCCTTCTTGGCTCACCCTGGAAGGTGGACGCTGGCCCCACACATCCCCTCTTAAAGACGCAGGCCGATAGCCAGCAGATCCTGGGGCTTGCTGGCCCCAAGTGAGTTGTCAGGGTTTCAGAGGACACCAGTCATGGCAACCCCAGCTCCATGGCTGCCACACAGGCCTGGGCTTCCCAGGACTGCCTCCTTCTTGTTCGCTTATGTAGATGAAAAATGAGGTAACGGCACTCCCCTGCCCCACCCTCCTCCCAGAAGTGCCCAGGGTGTAAACGCAATAGCTTGTGTGAAGTCCACTGGAACCCAGGCTCACCAAGTCAGTCTTAACCAACACAGGCCCCAGCACCCGCAGAGCAGACACTGCGATGACAACGGACGACACAGAAGTGCCCGCTATGACTCTAGCACCGGGCCACGCCGCTCTGGAAACTCAAACGCTGAGCGCTGAGACCTCTTCTAGGGCCTCAACCCCAGCCGGCCCCATTCCAGAAGCAGAGACCAGGGGAGCCAAGAGAATTTCCCCTGCAAGAGAGACCAGGAGTTTCACAAAAACATCTCCCAACTTCATGGTGCTGATCGCCACCTCCGTGGAGACATCAGCCGCCAGTGGCAGCCCCGAGGGAGCTGGAATGACCACAGTTCAGACCATCACAGGCAGTGATCCCAGGGAAGCCATCTTTGACACCCTTTGCACCGATGACAGCTCTGAAGAGGCAAAGACACTCACAATGGACATATTGACATTGGCTCACACCTCCACAGAAGCTAAGGGCCTGTCCTCAGAGAGCAGCGCCTCTTCCGACAGCCCCCATCCAGTCATCACCCCGTCACGGGCCTCAGAGAGCAGCGCCTCTTCCGACGGCCCCCATCCAGTCATCACCCCGTCACGGGCCTCAGAGAGCAGCGCCTCTTCCGACGGCCCCCATCCAGTCATCACCCCGTCACGGGCCTCAGAGAGCAGCGCCTCTTCCGACGGCCCCCATCCAGTCATCACCCCGTCACGGGCCTCAGAGAGCAGCGCCTCTTCCGACGGCCCCCATCCAGTCATCACCCCGTCACGGGCCTCAGAGAGCAGCGCCTCTTCCGACGGCCCCCATCCAGTCATCACCCCGTCACGGGCCTCAGAGAGCAGCGCCTCTTCCGACGGCCCCCATCCAGTCATCACCCCGTCACGGGCCTCAGAGAGCAGCGCCTCTTCCGACGGCCCCCATCCAGTCATCACCCCGTCACGGGCCTCAGAGAGCAGCGCCTCTTCCGACGGCCCCCATCCAGTCATCACCCCGTCACGGGCCTCAGAGAGCAGCGCCTCTTCCGACGGCCTCCATCCAGTCATCACCCCGTCACGGGCCTCAGAGAGCAGCGCCTCTTCCGACGGCCCCCATCCAGTCATCACCCCGTCACGGGCCTCAGAGAGCAGCGCCTCTTCCGACGGCCCCCATCCAGTCATCACCCCCTCATGGTCCCCGGGATCTGACGTCACTCTCCTCGCTGAAGCCCTGGTGACTGTCACAAACATCGAGGTTATTAATTGCAGCATCACAGAAATAGAAACAACGACTTCCAGCATCCCTGGGGCCTCAGACACAGATCTCATCCCCACGGAAGGGGTGAAGGCCTCGTCCACCTCCGATCCACCAGCTCTGCCTGACTCCACTGAAGCAAAACCACACATCACTGAGGTCACAGCCTCTGCCGAGACCCTGTCCACAGCCGGCACCACAGAGTCAGCTGCACCTGATGCCACGGTTGGGACCCCACTCCCCACTAACAGCGCCACAGAAAGAGAAGTGACAGCACCCGGGGCCACGACCCTCAGTGGAGCTCTGGTCACAGTTAGCAGGAATCCCCTTGAAGAAACCTCAGCCCTCTCTGTTGAGACACCAAGTTACGTCAAAGTCTCAGGAGCAGCTCCGGTCTCCATAGAGGCTGGGTCAGCAGTGGGCAAAACAACTTCCTTTGCTGGGAGCTCTGCTTCCTCCTACAGCCCCTCGGAAGCCGCCCTCAAGAACTTCACCCCTTCAGAGACACCGACCATGGACATCGCAACCAAGGGGCCCTTCCCCACCAGCAGGGACCCTCTTCCTTCTGTCCCTCCGACTACAACCAACAGCAGCCGAGGGACGAACAGCACCTTAGCCAAGATCACAACCTCAGCGAAGACCACGATGAAGCCCCCAACAGCCACGCCCACGACTGCCCGGACGAGGCCGACCACAGACGTGAGTGCAGGTAAGTGGCTCCTGCTGGTGATCTTCGGGGATTTGGGATGCGGAGTTTCCAGGACGTCTCCGCACTTGAGGAGTGGAGAGGAGGGAAGGATCTGGAGCCTACTCAGAGCCTGCTCCTGATGTTGCCTCTTCGTGATCTTCTAGTGGTTCTTGGCGAAATCAGGAAAAGGCAGATGGAGGGTTGTGTATGGAAAGGGGTGGGGATGGAAGTCCGGAGAAATGGTTTGCGGTCTCGGCTCTGCCTGTAACAACCCGAGTGACCTTGGGCAAGTCCCTGTCCCTCTCTGGGCCTCAGTTTCTCCACCTGTATTTGGAGAGGGTTGGAATGGGCACTGAAGTCCTGTCCAGCTCTGACCTTCTGTGAAGTGCACTGTTGAGCAGCTCTGGAAGCTTCTATTCCAGCCATAGCCACACAGAGGAGCAGCAGGCAGGCATCAGGCCCAAGCTGCTGCTCTCTGACAGGCTGGGACCCCATGAAAGTGGGGCCTGCTGGATGCATTTCCTGGGATTTATGCCATAGATAGTGACTTAAAATAAATTAATACAGGCCTGGAGCGGTGGCTTATGCCTGTAATCCCAGCACTTTGGGAGGCAGAGGCCGGCGGATCACCTGAGGTCAGGAGTTCGAGACCAGGCTGACCAACATGGTGAAACCCCATCTCTACTAAAAATATGAAAATTAGCTGGGCGCAGTGGTGGGCGCCTGTAATCCCAGCTACTTGGGAGACTGAGGCAGGAGAATCACTTGAACCCGGGAGGTGGAGGTTACAGTGAGCTGAGACGGAGTGAAACTCCGTCTCAAAAAAAAAAGGTAAGATAAAATAAGCAAATACAGCGAAGGCTTGGGAGTTTAAAGCTACATCTCTGAGGCAACAGGGACTTCTCAGGGGAGAAGTTCATTGTCAGAGGCTGCTTGGTCAGTCCAGCTTCTGGTCAGCCTGTAGCCTCCACCTCCACTTCCTGTCACTCTGCCCTTGGGCCTCATCTCTGTGTATCCGCAGCTTGTTACCACCTTTCTGGGGGAGGTGGGAATACAAATATTAATCACAACCACTCAATACATAAAGATATTATTGAATATCTTTCATGTTATAGGCAGGGGTGATATAAACATGTTTCACACCCAGTAAGCACTGGCCCCAGCAGAACGTTCTCTCCGGTGCCAGGCAGTGTGCCACCAGCTTTGCATATGTTATCTGATGCCAGGCAGTGTGCCACCGGCTTTGTATATGTTATCTGATGCCAGGCAGTGTGCCACCGGCTTTGCATATGTTATCTGATGCCAGGCAGTGTACCACCAGCTTTGCATATGTTATCTGATGCCAGGCAGTGTACCACCGGCTTTGCATATGTTATCTGATGCCAGGCAGTGTGCCACCAGCTTTGCATATGTTATGATGCCAGGCAGTGTGCCACCAGCTTTGCATATGTTATCTCCTCTATTTAACCTTCAAAACAGCCTTAGGAGGTGGGTAACACGACCCCATCTGACAGGGTTAAAGATGGTAGCTAAACTGCTCTGGAAAGTGAAGGGGTGGCCTGCCCCTCCACACCTGTGGGTATTTCTAGTCGGGTGGGATGAGAGACTGAGAAAAGAAATAAGGCACAGAGACAAAGTATAGAGAAACAACAGTGGGCCCAGGGGACCGTCGCTCAGCATACCAAGGACCTGCACCGGCACCAGTCTCTGAGTTTTCTCAGTTTTTATTGATTATTATTTTCATTATTTTAGCAAAAAGGAATGTAGTAGGAGAGCAGGGTGATAATAAGGAGAAGGTCAGCAAGAAACATGTGAGCAAAAGAATCTGTGTCATAATTAAGTTCAAGGGAAGATACTATGCCTGGATGTGCACGTAGGCCAGATTTATGTTTCTCTCCACCCAAACATCTCAGCAGAGTAAAGAATAATAAAGCAGCATTGCTGCAAACATGTCTCACCTCCCGCCACAGGGTGGTTTTTCTCCTGTCTCAGAATTGAACAAATGTACAATCGGGTTTTATACTGAGACATTCAGTTCCCAGGGGCAGGCAGGAGACAGTGGCCTTCCTCTATCTCAACTGCAAGAGGAGATCCTCTTTTACTAATCCACCTCAGCACAGACCCTTTACGGGTGTCAGCCTGGGGGACGGTCAGGTCTTTGTCATCCCACAAGGCCATATTTCAGACTATACATGGGGAGAAAGCTTGGACAATAACCTGCTTTCAAGGGCAGAGGTCCCTGCGGCTTTCCACAGTGCATTGTGCCCCTGGTTTATTGAGACTAGAGAATGGCGATGACTTCTACCAAGTATACTGCTTGTAAACATTTTGTTAACAAGGCACGTCCTGCACAGCCCTAGATCCCTTAAACCTTGATTTTATACAACACATGTTTTTATGAGCTCAAGGTTGGGGCAAAGTTACAAATTAACAACATCTCAGCAAAGCTTGTTTAAAGTACAGGTCTTTTTCAAAATGGAGTCTCATGTCTTTCCTTTCTACAGAGACACAGTGACAGTCTGATCGCTCCTTCTTTTCCCTGGAAAGAAAAATACTTTATTATTTGTTGATTAGATAAGACATTCATATGATTTGAAATGGAAAGGTACGAAAAGGTTCACCATAAAATGCCTTTCTCCCCTGGCTGTGCCCCCACCCAGTTCTCTCCACACATGTAACCCGTGAGATTGTCTCTTGTGTGTAATTTTCTGCACATGAAATGTACATACGGAAGCAAATATATGTGACTATTTCATCCTCCTCTTTTTTTTTTTTTTTTTTTTTGAGACAGTTTCGCTCTTGTTGCCCAGGTTGGAGTGTAGTGCTGCGATCTCAGATCACCACAACCTCCGCCTCCCAGGTTCAGGCGATTCTCCTGCCTCAGCCTCCTGAGTAGCTGGGATTACAGGCACGCACCACCATGCCCGGCTCATTTTGTGTTTTTAGTAAAGACGGGATTTCTCCATGTTGGTCAGGCTGGTCTCAAACTCCCGATCTCAGGTGATCCACCTGCCTCTGCCTCCCAAAGTGCTGGGATGACAGGTGTGAGCCACTGCGCCCAGCCCTGATTTTCATCTTACTGTTCTCCATTTGCAGGTGAAAATGGAGGTTTCCTCCTCCTGCGGCTGAGTGTGGCTTCCCCGGAAGACCTCACTGACCCCAGAGTGGCAGAAAGGCTGATGCAGCAGGTGAGTGGGCACTTTCCGGGCCAGGGGAGTAGAGGAAGGGGCGAGGTTCGCAGGGGCTGCAGGGAAGACCCGCAGGACACAGAAGAGCAGCTACCGCGCTTGGAAGGGAGTCTCGTTTCTTACGGAGAATTGGGAGCTGAATCTGAGGATCTCTGCCTGGCTTTGCTTCTGCCTGCCTTCTCCGAGTTCTTCATTTCCTTCTCTGCAATGTAAACATGTGACTCCTAGAGCCCCCAGTTTCTTCTGGTCCTTGGAAGCTTGGCCTTCTGGCCTCTGAGGCAAAGGTCAGTGATACTGATGGGAGGGTAGGTCGGACTCTTGGTTGCAAGTGGCAGAAACCCAAGTCAGGGCAGTTTATGCAAAAAAAAAAAAAAAAAAAAAAAGGCAAGGTCTGAGAAACCTACAAGTGTCTCTTCAGCTTCAGTACGGCTGGATCCAGCAGCTCCAGCGCCATCACAGGGACTTTCTCTTTCTTTCCCTGTCTTAGCTTTACTCCCTTCATTCTTCAGAGTCTTTCTTCATGTGTATGAAAAGGCAGCCTTGTTAGCCATAGATTCACAAGGGACTTCCATCTCCCCACATTTTCTTTTCTTTTTTCTTTTTCTTTCTTTCTTTTTGTTTTTTGAGACGAAGTCTCGCTCTGTCGCCCAGGCTGGAGTGCAGTGGTGCGATCTCAGCTCACTGCAAGCTCCGCCTCCTGGGTTCACGCCATTCTCCTGCCTCAGCCTCCCAAGTAGCTGGGACTACAGGCGCCCGCCACCACGCCCAACTAATTTTTATGTTTTTTTTTTTAGTAGAGACGGGGTTTCACCGTGTTAGCCAGAATAGTCTCAATCTCCTGACCTCGTGATCCACCCGTCTTGGCCTCCCAAAGTGCTGGGATTACAGACATGAGCCACCGCACCCGGCCCCCTCTCCCCAAATTTTCATGTCATCTGGGGAAGTGCAGGTCTCCATGGCCTGCAAGGGTCACCATGACTGACAACCCAGTCAGGATCCCATAGAGGAAGGATGAGCCCCAAGAAAATAGGGAGGCTAGGCAGAAAAAACCGCAGAGATGTATACTCTAGATGAGGACCATGATTGGGATGTATTTGTACAAGTTGGGAAAATTCTCCTAAAACCCACTGGATAGAACTTCCAATGGTAAAGTTCCGGGGTCAGGGTTTTGAGGATGGGGATGGTGTGGCTTGTTGGAGGTTAGACTGGGTCAGCTCAGTGCAGATGTCACGGGCCTGGCCTCACTGAGGGGTGGGTTGTTCTCCTAATGTGTGGTACAAAGTAGCAGATGGGGCATGATGGGAAGTGTCTAAGCTCTGCTCACAGATGTAACCGTGAAAACAGGCCCAGTGCACAGTCTAATGTGGATTGCCTCTTTGACAGTGCCCTTGCTAATACCTGAAGCTTGCATTCAGCACCTCTCACAGTCAATGGGACAGTGCCCTTGCTAATACCTGAAGCTTGCATTCAGCACCTCTCACAGTCAATGGGTGCCACACTGCTGAAAAGTGGCTCAGGCTTCCTGTCATCCCTTGCAAGGGTAAACCTGGCAGAGATGCTGGCTGGGGGTCTTATGCCAGGTGTAGAGTTCATAGCCAGGCTGGACAGGTGGAATGATTGCCCTTAGCAGAGGGAAGCAAGATATGTCCGTGGAGAGTGGGATCCTTTGTTGCAGGCGAAAGAAAACCTCTGTCTGTCGTAAGTAAAAGGGGGATTTGTTGGCAGCGTCCCAGAGTGCATAGAATCAAAGCAATGCCAGGACAGCAGGCTTGGAAAATAGGCAGGAGGGCCCCCAGGAGCTCTGAGGTCCAGACAGTGGGATCAGGCTGGCTGGGACACTGTCCCTCTTGCTGGTCAGTCACTATTGGATGCTGCCACAGCCAAGGGGCATCACGTGGCCTGCACACACATTCACATAGGTTCTCGCTGCCTTTTTGTCTCACTGGACTTTTTGCTCCAGAGCCAAAGTCCTGAGTAGGAACATTTGATAGGCTGAGCTTAGCCCTTGTACTCCCATGAGCCCACAGCCAGGTGCCAGGGGACGGGAAGAAGGGATGTCTGTGTCCTTGGAGTTCTCTTAGCAGCAGTGAGGCCAATCGTGACTCCCACTGTGAGGAGTTCCCTAAACATGGCACGGGGGCTCGACACCCGATGGCCAAATAAGTGACAAATGCCCCCGGCATGTGATAATCAAAGTAGCGAGTGTGAATCCTTGTGGGAGAGGGAAGCCAATTGCTTTTGTTTTGTTTTGTTTTGTTTTGTTTTGTTTTGTTTTGTTTTCTGAGACTGAGTCTCACTCTGTCATCCAAGCTGGAGTGCAGTGGTGCGATCTTGGCTCACCACAACCTCCGCCTCCCAGGTTCAAGCCATTCTCCTGCCTCAACCTTCTGAGTAGCTGGGATTACAGGCCCGCACCACCATACCTGGCTAATTTTTGTATTTTTAGTAGAGATGGAGTTTCAGGTTTCAGCATCTTGGCCAGGCTAGTCTTGAACTCTTGACCTCATGATCCACCCACCTCAGCCTCCCAAAGTGCTGGGATTACAGGCGTTGAGTCATTGCGTCCGGCTGGGAAGCCAGTTTTCTTTTTCTTTTTCTTTTTCTTTCTCTTTTTCTTTTCTTTTCTTTTATTTTTCTTGAGACAGATTCTCGCTCTGTCGTCCAGGCTGGAGTGCAATGGCACGATCTCGGCTCACTGCAACCTCCACCTCCCGGATTCAAGCAATTCTCCTGCCTCAACCTCCCTAGTAGCTGGGATTACAGGTGCACACTACCACTCCTGGCTAATTTTTGTATTTTTAGTAGAGATGGGGTTTCTCCATGTTGGTCAGGCTGGTCTCGAACTCCTGACCTCAGGTGACCCACCTGCCTCTGCTTCCCAAAGCACTGGGATTATTGGCGTGAGCCACCGCACCCGGCCGGGAAGCCAGTTTTGAATCTCAGGTCTAAGCCCCCAAACCAGAAATGATTTCAGGAATCGGAAAGAAACCGCGAGATCAGGAGCAGGTCAAGCAGCTGAGGCGCAGGCACCAGGCCACATGGGGTTGGGCATCAGTTCTCGTCCGGGGACAGCCCAACAGTTTGGGCTCGGGGATTAGACAATGAGCTTAGGAACCAGCTAGATCTGGGTGTGAATTCTAGTTCCCAACTGTGTGATCTTGGATAAGTTATTCTATGCGACTTTCATCCCTTATAAAATGAGGATCCTAACACCTGCTTTATAAGGTTGCTGTGAGGTTTAGATGACATAATGTGTGTGAGGCACCAGCCTGTGTCCAGCATGTAGGAGGCCCAGGAAGGGTTGCCGTCCTCCGCATGCACTCTGCCCCAGTGTCCCTTCCTGTCCTCTGCCTCTGGCGAGCTCATGGGCCAGATGGGCTGAAAGGACAGCTGGCTCTTTTGCTCTCCAGCTCCACCGGGAACTCCACGCCCACGCGCCTCACTTCCAGGTCTCCTTACTGCGTGTCAGGAGAGGCTAACGGACATCAGCTGCAGCCAGGCATGTCCCGTATGCCAAAAGAGGGTGCTGCCCCTAGCCTGGGCCCCCACCGACAGACTGCAGCTGCGTTACTGTGCTGAGAGGTACCCAGAAGGTTCCCATGAAGGGCAGCATGTCCAAGCCCCTGACCCCAGATGTGGCAACAGGACCCTCGCTCACATCCACCGGAGTGTATGTGTGGGGAGGGGCTTCACCTGTTCCCAGAGGTGTCCTTGGACTCACCTTGGCACATGTTCTGTGTTTCAGTAAAGAGAGACCTGATCACCCATCTGTGTGCTTCCATCCTGCATTAAAATTCACTCAGTGTGGCCCAGAGGCTGTCTATTGATCTGCATGCTTTCGCCATTTTTATAGTACAGGGATTGTGTATAGTCTCACTGCTACCTCCTCCTTCTACTCCCCCAGGTCTTGGTTTGGACTTTGATGATAGCATTTACTGAGACGGGCCTGGAGCCTGTCGAACAGCCCGCTGCAGCAGGGCAGGGACCACCTTTGTTCATCTCAGTATCCCCTGAACTAGCAGAGTGTCTGGCCTGCAGTGGGATCGCAGAGAATGTGGAATTGACCTAAATTTAAATTTCAAGTTCTGGACACAAGCCTCAATTATTCCTCTTATATGTTATAACTTACATGCTATTATTTTTTTAAAAAATTAATATGGTTTACTTTTTATTATAAAAGTAAAACTTGGCCAGGCTCAGTGGCTCACGCCTGTAATCCCAGCACTTTGGGAGGCCGAGGCCGGTGGATCACGAGGTCAGGAGTTTGAGACTAGCCTGGCCAACATGGTGAAACCCCGTCTCTACTAAAAACACGAAAATTAGCTGGGTGTGGTGGCAGGTGCCTGTAATCCCAGCTACCCAGGAGGCTGAGACGGGAGAATCACTTGAACCCGGGAGGCAGAGGTTGCAGTGACCCAAGATCCTACCACTGCACCCCAGCCTGGGCAAAAGGGCAAGACTCTGTCTCATAAATAAATAAATTTAAAATAAAAGTAAAACTTGTTTATGATTTCAAAATTTTGAAATATTCCAAAGACCAAGCAAAGTAAGAAGTGGGAAGAGGAGAAAGAAAAACTTTTCTATAATCCCACCTCTTAGATACAACGATTTATTTTTTAAAATTGAGACAGGGTCTCACTCTCACCCAAACTGCAGTGCAGTGGTGCGACCATGGCTCACTGCAGCCTCCACCTCCCAGCTCCAGTGATCCTCCCACCTCAGCCTCCTGAGGAGCTGGGACCACAGCTGGCTAATTTTTGTACTTTGTTTTGTAAAAAAGGGGCTTTACCATGTTGAGCAGGTTGGTCTCGATCTTCTGAGCTCAAGCAGTCCTCCTGCCTCAGACTCGCAAAGTGCTGGGATTACAGACATGAGCCACTGTGCCCAGCCTTATATACAGCTATTATTATTAATGTATACTGTGTATTCATTTCAATTCTTAATCTCTCCACTTGGATGTTGATGAAATACATACCTCACATTCAACATTTCTTTCTTTTTTTTTTTCTTTTTGAGATGGAAAGGAGCCTGGCTCTGTCACCCAGGCTGGAGTGCAGTGGCGTGATCTCAGCTCACTGCAAGCTCCACCTCTTGGGTTCACGTGATTCTCCTGCCTCAGCCTCCTGAGTATCTGGGACTACAGGTGCCACCACCATGCTCGGCTAATTTTTTGAATTTTTAGTAGAGACGGAGTTTCACCGTGTCAGCCAGCCTGGTCTCAAACTCCTGACCTCAAGTGATCCACCCACCTCGGCCTCCCAAAGTGCTGGGATTCCAGTTAATGAGCACTGCTCCTGGCCTCCACATTTCTAAAATCGAAGTTCTGATCTTTTCCTCTGGACCTGCCCCACCTGCATCTTCCCCATCTCAGTTAACGTCAGTTGCATCCTTCAGGTGCTCAGGCCGAAATCCTCGGCACCGTCTTTATTCCCCTCTCACATTTTGCACCAGGAAATTCTGCTGGCTCTAAGGCCATCAAACTGTGCCCAGAATGTGGCCCCTCCTCAGCATCTCCAGTGCTACCACCGAGATGGTCCACGATGCCATCATCTCTCACCTGCACTACTACAGGTCTCCCTGTTTCCAGCTCAGCCCCCACCCCAGTCTAGTCCCAGTGTGTCAGCCAGGGCTGTCTTTTTACAACATAAGGCAGACCACACCACTTCTTTGCTCCAATCCTCCCATTTCACTCAGAAGAAAAGCTCCGACAACAGCTGCAAAGCCGTGCACGACCTGCGCCCCTCCCCTGCCTCCTTAATTTGCTGACTGCACCGCAGCCACACGGACGTCTTTCTTGTCCCTTGAATGCGCTGGGCCTGCTCTTGCCTTGGGACCTTTCTGTGCATTGCTTAGTCTGCTCAGAAGCCTTCTCCTCTACATATCCACTTGTCTAAACCCTCTACCTCCACCTTCATGCCCCTTCTCAGCGAGGTCTACCATGACCATGCTGCCTACAAATTCAGTCTCCCCTTCTGTACTTTGACGTACTTTATAGTGCTGATCACAATTGAACGTCATACATATTTTGTTTTCTTTATTATCTGAGTCCTCCAACTAGAATGAAAGATTTTGCCCATTATGGTTTCCCTAGTGCCAAGAACAGTACCTGGCACATACCAGGGGCTCAGTAAACATTTGTTAGATGAATGAAGGAAACAAGGAGACAATGTTGATGCTGCTGTGAGCAAGGGGAGTCTGAACGTTTGACAGATCCCTTCCATTTCTGGAGTGGGGCAGAATGAGTTTCATAAAGTAGCTCGGACAAAAATAATTCGCTCATCTTGGCATATATGTTGGGCAGCTGCCGCAGAAGAGAGACTGAGCTATGTGCCGTGGAGGATTCAAATCTGTCTCTTCTCCCAGGGATTGAAGTTAGACACGTACAGCAATAATAAGTTGAAAGAACTTATTTACACCGCATATAGCAACAACAGGATGCCCTTAATATATAGAGAACTCTTACAGCGCAAGAAAATAAAAAGGCAAACATACCAGTAGAAAAATGGGTAAATGGCAACAGGTAATTCACAAAAGAAGAAATACAAATGTCCTCTCCTCCCGCCACCACCCCCCATGAAAAAGAACGTGTGACTTCAGTAGCAAAAACAGGTCCATTAATACAGTGAGATATTGCTTATTGTATGTCTGTACTGATCTATACTGGGTGCTGGGCAAACGGGCATTCTTAAACACTCCTAGTAGGGAAGAAATTGGTACAACCTTTCCGGAGGACAATTTAACTGATTTATTTAAAGCCCGAAAAATGTACATACCTTTAACTCAGCAGTTTCGTTACTGATTTATCTTAAGGAAGTAATTTAGAATCTGTGCCTAACTGTTTACAATAACTCATAGATGAAAAAGGCAAAACAAAACACAAGTAACCTCAAATCTCCCCATGTAACAGTTTGCTTAAACACTATAGCGTTATTTTACGCAAGCTACAGAAGCATTGTTGAAACATATATTTATTAGGACAGAAAAAAATTCATGAAATGTTATTTTATCTTCTTTTTTCTTAAAATGGAACTTAAAAAAAATTTTTTTAACTCCAACCTACCTTTTACACCATCTGCAGAGCTTTCCTCTCCCAAATCAAAGCTACTCCTGTTCCTACCTCCAGGATGGAATCCCCACCTTCGTATGCAAGGGTCTTCATGATATGGCCTCAGCCAACTATCTTAGCTCCAGGTCACGGCCCCATCTTCCATATCCTATGCTGCTTGCACAGGAAGCAGCTCGCTAACCCCAGGCACACCTGCTTTCATCTGGAGCGTCTGCCCATCATGATTCCTCCCCCTGGTCCCTTCACCTGGAAAACTCCTATTCATTCCTCAAAGCCCAGTTCAGATGGCACCTCTCCATGACTTCATCAGATTCCCTACAGAGGTGCTGATTTTCTGGTCTCTTGTGTTTCTGTTGTAACACTTAACATGCTGTATTATAATGTGCTTATTTTATTTACAAGTTTGTTACATTGTACGTGCTCGAGGACAAGCAGCCGGTAGTATTCACCTCTGTCATCACAGAAGCTGGCGTGGAGCCCTCCACATGAGGGCACTGATGTGTTTGCTGAGTGACTGGGACAATGGTGGGCCACGTGAGCCCCGAAACTTTCAGTGGGCTCTGAAAGTTAAGAAAAGGGCATTCAGTACTGAAATCACACAAAACGTAAATTTAATGATATAATTGTTCCGAAGCTGCTCTATAATTTGGCATGAATGGAGAGCAGTTTACAAAAATGACAACACCACTGTTATATAAACCCAATTCTTAAATAGGTTTTCTTCTCTTGCTTTGTATTTCCTCAAGTGGGTGATACTTAATACAGTGGCTCATGTAATCTTAATTACTACATATGAGGACACGGACATGTACATATGATGCTGATTACTGTTATTTTTGGAAGTAAAAAAATTGTAAAATTTGACTAGCTTAAAAAATCTGTAAAATATGGGATACACAAATTAGAGACTGGGTGCGGTGGCTCATGCCTGTAATCCCAGCACTTTGAGAGGCCGAGGCAGGCGGATCACTTGAGGCCAGGAGTTTGAGACCAACCCAGGCAACATGGTGAAATCCTGTCTCTACTAAAAATACACAAATTAGCTGGGCATAGTGGCAGGTGCCTGTAATCCCAACTACTCAAAAGGGTGAGGCAGGAGAATCACTTGAACCTGGGAGGCGGAGGTTGCAGTGAGCTGAGATTGCGTCACTGCACTCCAGCCTGGTGACAGAGCGAGACCGTGTCTCAAAACGTCAACAAGAACAACACAAATTAGAAGCATTTGGGAACTAAAATGTATCATTATGATTGCATGTGGGTGGGTTGGGGGGGGACAATAAAGAGGAAGAGAGACTGTGTGTGTGTGTGTGTGTGTGTGTGCACGCCTGTATTACTGGAGATGACCAAAGTTAGCAGGAGTAATGTTACCAAGCTAACAGGAGCCAGAAGTCCCTGGAGAAAACTCTCCAGCTATTTAAGATTCTAAAGTGTGTGTATATGAGGTAAAAATGCCACGTTTTATAAAGACAAATTTAAGCATGGACCTAAACAAGATGGCCTGTCTAAAGTCACCTGTGACTTGGTGTGAGCTCTGAGACGGCGAAACTCCACAGCAATGATGAAGACAACGTGAGGTGGAACTTCTCTGACCAGAGACCTCATCTGAAGCTTCTGCCACAGCCAGTCCTGCCTTCATCCCTTGAGAGGGGGATTGGCCACCAAAGTATGCAAAGCATTTGAATGGAAACGAATTCCGTGGGTGCGCCCCACACTTTAATAGTGGCCATCATATCACTTTCTGGTGCCAGTAAATGCGTAAAGGGGTGCATCATGCCAGTGACCTATCACTCATCATCCCAGTCATTAAGCCACTTACTTCAGGCCTGTGGGGAGTTTCTGGAAGGCTCCTTTGAAGCAGGGAAGAATGGGCAAGGGAGTCTGTGTCTTTGGCCAAGCTTTGCCCCAGATAGCTCCTTTTGCCACTCTCGAGCCCACTGAAGGTGTCCCAGCTGCTGCCACCAGCAGGGGTCGGGGGTCTGCACCCTTCTCTCTTCCAAGCAAACTCACACCTGGCACCCTGGGGAAGGGTCAGTCAGTTATTTTATTCCAGGGGCCAAAGCGACAGAATCCAGACCACTTGTAGCCAGGGAATGAGCTGACGAAAATGGATGGTTGTGTCCTTGTCCTTCTGACTGTCCCACTCGTGAAGGGGCAGCTCCCTGTCCAGCTAGAGAAGGGTGTCCCCAGGTGCCCTCTCCTTTCTTGGGACGCCTCCTCCTCCCGTGCTGTCAGGGCCTCAGCGGCTTTGACTGGGCTCACCAAGAAAACACAGAACAGCCACTTAAATGAGAACCTCGGATAAACGGTGAACACTTAAAAATATACAAGAATGTTCCAAATAGTTCATGGGATATCTTTAAACTAAAACAATTATTTGTGGTTAATCTGAAATTTAAGCTGGGCTGCTTGTATTTTCATTTGCTAAATTGGACAGCCCTACTTTCATTATTATTATTATTATTATTATTGAGACCCAGTCTCACTCTGTCACCCAGGCTGGAGTGCAGTGGTGCCATCTCGGCTCACTGCAAGCTCCGCCTCCTGGTTTCAAGGGATTCTCCTGTCTCAGCCTCCCAAGTAGCTGGGATTACAGGTGTGCGCCACCACGCCCAGCTAATTTGTTATATTTTTGGTAGAAACAGGGTTTCACCATGTTGGTCAGGCTGGTCTTGAACTCCTGACCTCAGGTGACTTGCCTGCCTCGGCCTCCCAAAGTGCTGGGATTACAGGTGTGAGCCACCACACCTGGCCCAGACAGCCCTACTTTTAATGCATCCTCTCCCACGAGGGTCCCTGGCTCCTCTCTTCCGTCCAATCTGCGGGTCTCCTTCAGGGGTAGCAAGCTCCCAGCCTTCTCCCAGGTATTGGGCCTCTCCTCTGCCTCGGGAGGAGCTGTCCATCAAACACAGGCTCTGTCCTCCCGCTCCCTCCATTGCTTAGTGTGTGAAGGTGGACAGGGGAGGAGGGACCTTGGGTTTGGGGCGGTTCTGCTCCCCACTCGCTGCTTTGCTTTTGCTCTTTCTGGTTTCCTTTCTCCGCAGTTGATGACACAGGGCACCCACAGCGCTCACGTGCCTTCCATGGTGGGGGTGAATCCTTTGCCAATAGTGCCTGGTGGGTTTCAGGTAAGTTGTAACTTTTGGACCTTCTGCTGTCTCTGACTTTGAGTCACATGACAAGGTCCTCATGGAATTGGGATTCTGGCAGCCAGGTGAGGGCGGTCTCACCAGCTCCTTCATGCCTGCAGGCCTCCCCCTTCCTCACAACTGATGGATGGTTGGCTCCCTAGCCGCCCCGTTAGTGCCATGTGTGCTTAATTCTTTTAAAAATTTAAATATATTAATTTTAAAATCATCTTTTAAATAATAAAATTTGCTTTTTAGAGCAGTTTTGGGTTTACAGCAAAATTTTCCTGAGTGGAAAATACAGAAAGTTCCCATATGCCCCCTGCCACACACACATATACCTACGCCCAGCCTCCCCCACCACCAACGCCCTGCACCAGGTGGCACGTGTGACAGTCGATGCGTCCACGTCAACATATCCTCATCAAAGTCCAGAGTTGACAGCACATTTTTGGCGTTGGATATTCTCCATTCTCTATTCAACAACGTATCGGCTGGCCCGGCGCAGTGGCTCATGCCTGTAATCTCAGCACTTTGGGAGGTGGAGGCGGGTGGATCTCTTTGAGATCAGGAGTTCGAGACCAGCCTGGCCAACACGGCGAAAACCCATCTCTACTAAAAATACAAAAATTAGCCGGGTGTGGTGGCGCATGCCTGTAGTCTTAGCTACATGGAAGGCTGAGGCAGGAGAATCGCTTGAACCCGGGAGGTGGAGGTTGCAGTGAGCAGAGATCGCACCACTGCACTCCATTCTGGGCGACAGAGTGAGACTCAATCTCAAAAAATAACATAAATGTTTCTGCCATTGTAGCATCATACAGAAAAATAAGTAGTTTCAGTGCCCTAAAAATCCTCTGTGCTTCACTTATTCATCCCCAACCCCTGGCAACCACTGATCTTTTCACTGTCTCCATAGTTTTACCTTTTCCAGAATGTCATATAATTGCAACCGTAAGGTAAATAGCCTTTTCAGATTGTCTTCTTTCACATAGTATATGCATTTAAGTTTTCTGTATGTATTTTCATGGCTGTGTAATTCATTTCATTTTAGCACTGAATAATATTCCATCGTCTGAATGCACCATAGGTTATTTACCCGTTCACCTGCTGAAGGACATCTTGGTTGCTTCCAAGTTTTGGCAATTATGAATAAAGCTGCTATAAATTATGAATAAAGCTGCTATAAACCTCCATGTGCAGGTTTTCGTGTGGACAAAAACGTTTTCTGTCCCTTTGGGTAAATATCAAGGAGTGTGATTGCTGGACTGCATAGTAAGAGTATGGTTTAGTTTGGTAAGAAAGTGCCAAATTGCGGGCGCCTGTGGTCCCAGCTGCTGAGGAGGCTGAGGCAGGAGAATCGCGTGAACCCGGGAGGCGGAGCTTGCAGTGAGCCGAGATCGTGCCACTGCACTCCAGCCTGGGCGACAGAGCCAGACTCCATCTCCAAAAAAAAAAAAAAAAAAGAAACTGCCAAATTGTCTTCCAAAGTGGTTGTACCATGTTGCCTTCCCACCAGCAATGAAGGAGGGTTCCTGTTGCTCCACATCCTGAACAGCATTTGAAGTTTTCAGTGCTGTGGATTTTGATCATTCTTTTTTTCTTTTTCTTTTGAGACGGGGTCTCACTCCATTGCTCAGGCTGGAGTGAAGGCTGGATCGCGGCTCACTGCAGCCTCAACCTCCTGGGCTCAAGCAATCCTGCCATCTCAGCCTCCAGAGTAGCTGGGACCACAGTCACATGCTACCGTGCCCATATAATTTTTTAATTTTTTGTAGAGATGGGATCTTGCTTTGTTGCCCAGGCTGGTCTCAAACTCCTGGGCTCCAGTGATCCTCCTGCTTCAGCCTCCCAAAGTGCTGGGAGTACAGGTGTGAGCCACAGTGCCTGGTGACTGTGGTCATTCTAACAGGTGTGTATTGAGTACAGTTGTGAGCCACGATGCCTGGCGATTGTGGTCATTCTAACGGGTGTGCATGGGTTTCGCGTTGTTTGCGGTTCCCTAATGACATACGATGTTGAACATCTTTGTAGATGCTTATGTGCCATGTGAATGTCTTCTTTGGTGATATGTATGTTCAGTTTTTTTACCCATTTAAAAAACTGGGTTGTTCATTTTCTTATTGTTGAGTTGTAAGAGTTATTTGTATATTTAATTAATTAATTAATATTTTTTGAGACAGAGTCTCACTCTGTTGCCCAGGCTGGAGTGCAGTGGCGCGATCTCAGTTCACTGCAATCTCCGCCTCCTGGGTTCAAGTGATTATCCTGCCTCAGCCTCCCGAGTAGCTGGGATTACTACTACTGGTAGTAGTAATGGCGCCCGCCACCACACCCAGCTAATTTTTGTATTTTTAGTAGAGACAGGGTTTCACCATGTTGGCCAGGCTGGTCTCCAACGCCTGACCTCAATTGATCCGCTTACCTCAGCCTCCCAAAGTGCTGGGATTTCAGGTCTGAGCCAGTGCACCCGGCTCTTTGTATATTTTAGATAAAAGTCTTTAATCAGATGGGACTTTTGCAAATATTTTCATTCTCTTGCCATTGCCTTTCACAGAGAAGAAGTTTTTAATGTTAATGAAGTTCAGCTCATCAATTATTTCCTTCATGGATCATGCCCTTGCTATTGTATCTAAAATGTCATCACCATACTCAAGGTCATTTAGATTTTCTCCTATATTATCTTCTGGGAGTCTTACAGTTTTGCATTTTATTGAGGTTTATGATTCATTTTGAGTTTTTATGAAAGGTATAAGGTCTGTGTCTAGATTTTTTTTTTTTTTTTTTTTTTTTTTTTTTTTTTTTTGCTTGTGGATGTCCGGTTGTCCCAGCGTCATTTATTGAAAACACTATCTCTGCTCCATTGTGTGGCCTCTGCTGCTTTGTCAAAGATCAGTTGACACATTTATACAGGTCTATTAGAAATATTACTTTTAATATTCTGGGCTCTCTATTCTGTTCCATTGATCTATTTGTCTATTCTTTTGCCAGTATCATGCTGCTTTCATGACTATAGCTTTAGAGTAAGCCTTGAAGTCAGGTGGTATCAGTCCTCTGACCATTCTCCATCAATATTGATTTGGCTATTTTGGATCTTTTGCCTCTCCACATAAACTTTAGAGCCAGTTTATCCATATCTACAAATAACTTCCTGGGATTTTGATTAAGATTGTGTCATTATGTAGAATCTGTAGATCAAGTTGGCTATCTTGATCTGCTGCTATCTTGATAATATTGAGAACTGCTATCTTAATAATATTGAGTCTTCTGGCCTGTTGTGCTGGCGCACACCTATAATCCCAGCACTTTGGGATGCCGAGGAGGGTGGATCACCTGAGGTCAGGAGTTTGAGATCAGCCTGGCCAAAATGCCGAAACCCTATCTCTACTAAAAATACAAAAAAAAATTAGCCAGGCGTGGTGGTGTGTGCCTGTAATCCCAGCTACTCATGAGGCTGAGGCAAGAGAATTGCTTGAACCCGGGAGGCTGAGGTTGCAGTGAGCTGAGATGGTGCCACTGCACTCCAGCCTGGGTGACAGAGGGAGACTCCATCTCAAAAAAAAAAAAAAAAAAGAGTCTTCCTGTTCATAAACATAGAATGTCATCCCATTTATGAAGTTCTTTGATATCTTTCATCAGAGTTTTATAGTTTTTCTCATATAGATCTTGTACATATTTTGTTACATTTACACCTCAGTATTTCATTTTGGGGGATGCTAATGTAAATGGTCATATGTATTTAATTTTATTATTCATTTTTCTTTTTTTGTTTCCTGTCTTGCTCAAATATTTTTAATTCTAAATTCCAATTGTTCTTTGCTGGCACACACGAAAGCTGTTGACGTTAGGACACTAACCTTATATCATGAAACTTGTCTGAAATTGCTTCTTTGTTCTGGGGTTTTTTCCTTTTGTCAACTCTTAGATTTTTTTACATAGATGATTGTGTCATCTGTGAACAAAGCAGTTTTGTTTCTTCCTTTTTATTCTGTATACCTTTTATTTCCCTTTTGTGTCTAGTTGCATTGGCCAAGACCTCCAGCAGGATGTTGAGAATCGATGGTGAGAGGGGACGTTCTTGCCTTGTTACTAATCTTAGGGGAAAGCATCTAATTTCTCACCGTTAAGGATGATGTTAGCTGTAGGTTTTTGTAGATATTCTTTTATTTATTTATTTATTTATTTATTTTTTGAGACAGAGTCTCACTCTGTCACCCAGGCTGGAGTGCAGTGGTGTGATCTCGGCTCACTGCAATCTCCGCCTCCTGGGTTCACACCATTCTCCTGCCTCAGCCTCCCAAGCAGCTGGGACTACAGGCGCCCACCACCACGCCCAGCTAATTTTTTGTGTTTTTAGTAGAGATGGGGTTTCACCGTGTTAGCCAGGATGGTCTCGATCTCCTGAACTCGTGATCCGCCTGCCTCGGCCTCCCAAAGTGCTGGGATTACAGACGTGAGCCACCATGCCTGGCCGATCATGTGATTTTTCTTCTCTAGCCTGTTGATGTAACGGATTGCATTAGCTGATTTTTGAATATTGAACCAGTCTTGCATACCTGGGATAAATCTCTGTTGGTCATGGCCTATAATTCTTTTTACATATTGTTGAACTGTATTTGCTAATATTTTGTTGGTAATTTTTGCATCTATGTGAGATATATTGGTCTATAGTCGTCTTGTAATGTCTTTGTCCCGTTTTGGCATTAGGGTGACAGTGACAAATGACTTAGGAAGTATTCCTCCTGCTTCTATCTTCTGGAAAAGATTGCAGAAAATAGGTATTATTTCCCCTTAAATATCTGCTAAAATTCACCAGCGAACTCATCTGTGCTGTGTGCTTGCTTCTTGATAAATGAATGCTGTGACTGCAGTTTTGTATGGAGACTTCATTACATTCCACTTTGGGGCATATGAGGGTAAAGCTACAGCTTTGTATGTAGGAGAGTGGCTTCACCTATTGGGAGAAGTCATTCTCCATGTAAGTTTGGAGTCTGCTCAGATCAAAGACTGTGAAGGTTAATATTGAGTGTCAACTTGATTGGACTGAAGGATGCAACGTATTGTTCCTGGGTGTCTCTCTGTGAGGGTGTTGGCAATGGAGACTAATATTTGAATCAGTGGACTGGGAGAGGCAGGCTCACTCTCAGTCTGGGTGGACACAATCTAATCAGCTGCCAGCATAGCCAGAATAAAGCAGGCAGAGGAATGTGGAAGGATTACACTGGCTAAGTCTTCCAGCCTTCATCTTTCTCCCGTGCTGGATGCTTCCTGCCCTCAAACATCGGACTTCCAGTTCTTCAGCTTTTGGACTCTTGGACTTACACTGGTGGTTTGTCAGGGGCTCTTGGGCCTTCTGCCACAGACTTAAGGTTACACTGTCGGCTTCCCTACTTTTGAGATCTTGGGATTCAGACTAGCTTCCCTGCTTCTCAGCTTGCAGACAGCCTATTGTGGACCTCACTTTGTGATCGTGTGAGTCGATACTCCTTCATAAACTCCCCTTTATATATACATCTATCCTATTAGTCCTGACCCTCTAGGGAACCCTAATACAAAGATTATATATATATTCTTTATATATATATATATATATATATTTTTTTTTTTTTTTTTTTTTTGAGACAGAGTCTTGCTCTGTTGCCCAGGCTGGAGTGCAGTGGCACAATCTCAGCTCACTGCAACCTCCGCCTCCTGGGTTCAAGAGATTCTCCTGCCTCAGCCTCCTGAGTAGCTGGGATTATAGGCGTGTGCCACCATGCCCAGCGAATTTTTGTATTTTAGTAGAGACAGGGTTTCACTATGTTGGCCAGGCTGGTCTCAAACTCCTGGCCTCAAGTGATCTGCCCGCCTTGGCCTCCCAAAATGTTGGGATTACAGGCGTGAGCCACCGTGCCCAACCAAAGATATTCCTTTGGGAGCTTCCTTCAACAGCACTTACCCACCCGCAAGAATGAGCTTGAACACCTGCTTTGCACCATGTGACCTCCTTTCTGACCCCATGACTACATTTTATTGGACCAGGCATAAACAACTGATGTAAATTGGACCAGTCAGATTCTCTCTTCAGGGATTTGGGATTTAGAACTAAGAGGCAGCTACCTAGTTTCTGCATAAAGTTGGAATTGAGATTTTCTAGACACAGGAATTGTGGACCAATTGTGTTGGAGTTATTACACCAGATAGGTGTAAAAGTCCCGCCTGCTGAGAGGATTCTGTGGAAGCTGATCAGGTTGCTGGGGCAAGTGGAGGCAGGGTAGAGGTGAAGGGCTGTGGGATGGAGAACCTCAGAAGACTCCATCTGGGGTCCGGGAAAGGACAGAGAGGGTATATGAGGGGTCGGGCCCTCCAGATCTAAGGGTGGGGTGGTGGCATGTTTCTTGAGTTGGTTCCTGGAAAGGGAGCTGAAATGGTTTAATCGCTCTTCCATGAAACGCAGGCGGTGGGGACAGCCACCAGACAGGTAAACACACTGTGCATTGATCCTTTTACGACTTTTGTGAAACTGATGGACAGGCAGGCAGGGAGGGGTCCTGGGAGAGAGTCTGGGGCACTCCATCTTGGGGTATCTCTTTCGCTCTCCTCCTTAGCGGGCGAAGCTTTGGCCTGTGCTGGGGTGGGGGAAGAAGAAGGTGATGTGGAGCATGAAGCAAGGTTGGGGTGGAGCAACTGAGGGTTTCCAGCATGGGTAACCGGGCTGATTAGGACTGGATCCAGCTGCCCCTAATGCTCCACTGCTGCCCAGCACTTAACCTCCACACTCTGTGCCCTCTGATGGTTGGGAGAAGTCTGTGTCCAGCCCTTCGGCCACCAGAAGAAAATCAAGAATGGAATTCCTGGTTTTGGAGACACAAAAAGTCAGAGAGACTTTATTTAAATAGAGTTAATTTGAAGTAAACCAGAGAGTTTTGTGTGCAGAAGCATTTTGCTTAACTTAGGGCCATCACCACATTATGAACTCGTGTGTGTGTGTGTGTGTGTGCACGCGCGCGTGCACAGGCTAGTGTCCTTCTGTGGGTGTGTCTGCGTGAGGACCCATCCATGCATGTTTGATCTTTATGGCCTCCCCCTGTGCACCTGCGCCTATGGATAAGGTATAGTCTTGTCTTGATTCCCAGTATTCATTCTCCTTGAAGAATCCTGACAGCCTTCAGTCACCTTCCCTTTTCCAGTCTCCCAAAAGCAATGGCGCCTTAAATGTGCGGTAAGGATGAGGTGAGTCTTGAGGTAGCCTAGGCCACAGCTGCCCCTTCAAGGCAAGGCCTCAGCTGAGTTCAGGAAATAGGAGAACCTGGCCCCGGAGCAACCCCAGAAGCGCAGGACCACGAACGTCCCGACCCCCAGCAGCAAGAGGCCGCCCAGGGCCCCAAAGAAGATGCCGAAGAACGCGTCGAGTTTCATGCTCAGGTGCTCACAGTGCTCGCCCCAGGCCGTGTAGATGGAGAAGGACACACAGCTGGTGACCAAGAGAGACAGACAGGCGGTCAGAGGCGGGAGCTCAGCCTCCCAGCCCCTCCTCTTCTGCTGGGGAAGAAGAGGTTCTGTAGGAGAGGCTGGGCTCGCCCCACTCTCCGGAGAGACTGAGTCAGCCCTGAGGCCGTGCTGAAGTGAGACCACTGGGCAAAGGAGGCAGGTGTGGGCTTTAAAAACATGGGCCTGGGCCGGCGCGGGGGCTCACGCCTGTAATCCCAGCACATTGAGAGGCTGAGGCGGGCGCATCACTTGAGGTCAGGGGTTCGAGACCAGACTGGCCAACACGGTGAAACCCCATCTCTACTAAAAATACAAAATTAGCCAGGCGTGGTGGTGCGCACCTGTAATCCCAGCTACTCAGGAGGCTGAGGCAGAATCGCTTGAACCTGGGAGGTGGAGGTTGCAGTGAGCCGAGATTGCAACACTGCACTCCAGCCTGGGGGACAGAGCAAGACTCCGTCTCAAAAAACAAAAACAAAAACCTGGTGTGAATTCAGCTGCACGTGCAGTCAGCTGCACCTGGGCGGCAGGGATGCCGGCCACAGGTGGGCATGCGCAGTCACACCCCCGCCCCAGCCCGGCCCCGCCCCGCCCCGCCCACCCGGAGAGCCGGGCCCCGCCCCACCCGCGCTCCGCCCGCCCCCTCCTTCGGCGGGATCTGGAACTGCAGCTGGCGGAGGGCCCGGAGCCCAGGTCTGCGTGGGGCCGCGGCTTCCTGCGCTGTTAACCAGCGGAGCCCCGGGGACTGCTGATGAGGGCAGGGGCAAAGGCGCCTCGCTTGACTGAGGGGCAGGACTGGCCTAGACACAGGACTGCAGGTTCTTTTCCCACAAGGAGACAGCAGGGAAGCAGCAGCCAGATCAGGTGGGAGGGTTTGACTTTGGGCCCTGGCGCGGTGGCTCACGCCTGTAATCTCAGCACTTTGGGAGGCCAAGGTGGACGGATCACCTGAGGTCAGGAGTTCGAGACCAGCCTGACCAACATGGCGAAACCCCGTCTCTACTAAAAATGCAAAAATCAGCTGGGCGTGGTGGTGCATGCCTGTAGTCCCAACTACTCGGGAGGCTGAGGCAGGAGAATCGCTTGAACGCGGGAGAAGGACGTTGCAGTGAGCCGAGAACGCACCACTGCACTCCAGCCTGGGCGACAAATGACACTCCATCTCAAAACATAAAAATATAAAAAATGTTTGGCTTTGGAAACCATGCCCTGCTGCTTAACCTACTGCGTCCTGGGGCAGGTTCCTTGTCATCTCTAAGCTGCAGTTTTCTCATCTTCGAAATAGTTCTAAGCCCCCCTATGGCTCTTTTGGGTTTCAGAGTTTGTAATATAGCGCCTTTATTCTCCACACAGAGCAGGCACTCACAACTCTCCTTTTCCACTGTCCTCTCTTCCCTGGTCTCTGATCTCTCGAGCCATCCTAATTCCTGGACCCCTTGCAGTGTCTTGCCCAGCTTGGGTTCCCCAGCACTGTCCTCCACCTCCTGGCCACAGCCCTATGCACCTGCAGCGGGGCCCACTGGGCAGGTGCTGGCACTGGCCTCCATGGTCACAGTAGCCCCTACTGCACGGGGACACGCAGGTGAAGCCGCTCTGGGGGCTGTAGACCAGGTCGTAGCCCTTGTAGCCATCGCATCTGAAGTAAGCCTTCAGCGTGCTCACGTTCACTGTCGGGAAGGACACAGATTAACACAGAAAGCAACCGATGAACACTAAATCAGTACCTTTTCAGCCACGAATTCCTTTTCGGGTGTTTATCCTGAGAAATAATTGGAGAAGTGCACAGATACATATGCCCCTGGACGTTCAGATCAGCATGGTGGATAATAGTAACGTTTCAGAAGTAGGGTCTGGTTAAATAAACTACTGCACATCCTTACCAAGGGATGGTGCTTCCTATGGAAAAAGTTTCCTAGGGAAAAAGGTTCCTAGGGAAAAAGGTTCCTGTGGAAAAAGGTTCCTATGGAAAATGCTTTCCTGAAGAGCACATGCTTTGAAGGTGGCCAGACTTGGGTGGAAACTGAAACTCTGCTAGTGACTAGATGTGTAATTCAGGGAACATTCCTTCACTCTTTCAGCTTCAGTTTCCTTATCTTTAAAAGGAAATGATCATAATAGCACTTATGCTGCTGTGAGATTTAAATGAGATAATGTGTCCACAGTACTCAGTACAGTGCCGGACACACAGTAAGCACTCAAACAATGGTAATGATTATTATAATGTATTTTAAAATATGACACTATATTCAAACATACCATCATAATATGTCAAATGGGAATGTGGACAGAATATATGAGACAACCTGTTCACAACTGTTTAATGAGGAGGTTTTCCAACATTAGGAATGATTTGATCCTTCAGTAAAAAATGGATGTCTGAAGGTTCCTAGGCATAAAAGAAAGTTCAGAAGGATATGTAGGAAATACTGTTGTCTCTCTGGGGATTGGGATTACAGGGTTTTTTTCCTCTTTTCTTTTTGTTAAGTTTGTGTTTCCTAAAGTTTCTGCAATAAACATACGATGCTTGTATAATAAAAATTATAGGTTTTCCTTAATTGCATAGTCAGGGCTTGCCTCCCTGCGCCTCCTACCCCAACTCCCCAACATACAGTAGTTCTGAGGGATTTCACCCCCTGCTCCGGGAGAGAGCGGGCTTAGCCTGGATTCTGGGAGAAGCTCTTGCTTGGTCCCAGACCCAAGTAAAACAGCAGTTCCTGTTGTGTTTGGGGCGGCCCCTGCCCTGTTCTCTGCCCTATACAGAAAATAGGACGTGTTATTCCTTTGTTTCTCTGACAAGCTTGCCAACTTATTCCTGTTCCAGGAAAACCGGGGGCTGTCAGCACTGAAAGGGGGCTCAGAAATCCCATCTCATTTTCAGATGGGGGTGCTGAGGCCTGGCCTGGGGAAGGTGCTTGGGGAGTGTTGAGGCCTGGCCTCGGGGAGGTGCTGGGGGGTGTTGAGGCCTGGCCTGGGGAAGGTGCTGGGGGGTGTTGAGGCCTGGCCTGGCCTGGGGAAGGTGCTGGGGGGTGTTGAGGCCTGGCCTGGCCTGGGGAAGGTGCTTGCACAGGGTGACACCATTTCAGGGAGTAGTTGCCTCTGTCCCTGGCCAGTCTCCAGTCTCCAGCTTCATATCCTCCCGCTGGAGAGCAGAGACGATGGGGGTGTCCCTGTGTATGCTTAAGTGCAATGGCATTTTAAGAAAACTATTAGCAATTTTATGAAACTAAATTGCTGCTGTTTTATTAGCAGCCACAGTCAGCAAGGCCCTGGCTGGGTGCTTGCTCCGTGAAGCTGTATACGTGTGACTGCCTCAGCAGTGCTGGCTGCTCCTGCTCTCGAATCTAAAAAGCAGCTGGACAAAATGTTCACGTTTTCGCTCAAAACCAAACAAACAGAAAAACTCAATTAGCTTGTTTGTGTGGGCTGAAGCACCTCTGTTTGCCCGCCCCCCGCAGTGACCCCCATAGTGTCCCCGGAATGGACGGACTCACGGGCTGTCACATCGCGCACGTCTTCCCCGGAGATGGGCTGGAAGACCACGTCGTTCCTGGGCTCCTCACTCCTCCGTGGAACGTGGTATAAGAACGCCTCCACCACCGCGGCCAGCAGCTGGTTGTTCAGGAAGTCAATGACCGGGCCCCGAGGGCGGTACTGGAACTCCGAGATGACCATCCAGTGTTGGATGGGGCTTCCCGAGGCCGGTGCTGCAGAATCGCTGTGTGGGAGGGCAACGGTGAGGGGGGGTGGGGGGCTGGGGGTGGGGGATGAGGAAGAGATCTGGGGGCTTAGGGGGACACAGTCCCACTTACATTCGTTCCACTTGGCTGTTGCGGAGAAAGGCCCGCATGTCCAGGGTCCCCAGTCTGTATGCCACCTAGGTTAGAGGATGGCAGATGGGGGTGGGGGTGAGGCCCCATCCGGGGGGGAGACGCCCTCCCACCTTGATGGGTGTATTCATCCCTGTTTCCTCCTGGAACGGGAGCCCCAGGACCCCAGCACCTTCCTCACCTGTCTCTGCACCCTTGCACTCTAGCCTAGCTCAGTGAGTGTCATGGGTCCTTGCTTAATAATGTTTGTTGAGAGTGAAGGGTTTTCCATTCTGTCCCCCCCTCAGCCTCATATGACGAGCAGAGAATCTGACATGAATGGCCCCTACCTTGCCTCTGACACATGACTCATGACCTCCTCCCCAGTATATTGAACATGGGTTGTTTAGACCTAGGAGATGGTCGGGGCTGGGGGTGTCAAGGTGACTTAGGTGGAGTCTAAACTCAAAGAGTGCATTGTCTGGCGCAGGTGACAAATGTCAACAGATTTTACCGTGTGGAGTGTGGAGTGGGGAGTGCTAGGCTTGCAGTAGTGATAATAGCAGTCATCATGTTTGAATACTTGTGTGTCAGGCACTGGACTAAATGCTTGACACGCGTTATCATTTAAACGGTGATACGGCCTGTTGACTCAGGTGCTATGATTGTCCCTGTGTTTACAGATGACCTGTTATATGATGTGTCTAGTTAGCACACCTGCTCTAGTGAGGGGCAGAGCAGGGATTCTGATTCTGGGTGTGCAGGATTCTACAGCCCCAACCACTCAGCAGTTGTGCCACTTTGCCTGTGACTGAGGTATGGCATGGCAGCCAAGAAGAGGGAGCCGCCCGTTCCCTCTGGGAAGTCAGGGAAGACTCCCGGGAGGTGAAATGTCCTTTAGTTTCTTTCAGATCATAACCAAGATGCTTAGAGGTCTCGGCTGGGGTGACTTGGCACCCTGGCCTCTGCTTATGATGAGTCGAGGTTTCTGTCTTGGGCCTTCCTCACTTCCTAATGCCCTGCACCTCCCATGGGGCAAGAGGCTCCGGCCTCCTCTGGCAGTTGAATCCAGATGGATGACAAGATGAAGGCCGCACAGCGATGGTTCCGCCCTGGCCTGAACCCGCCAAGCGCCCCCTCCCACCCAGAGCGCGGCCTGCAGCACTGACCGAGGCGTTGACTTCTGCCATGGAGGCATTTTCCTCTTCACTGAGCAAGAGCTGGATGACTCTTAAGGGAAGTTCTGGAGATGGGAGAAGCAAATGTATCATCACCCCACGGTTTACCCAGACTTACCCAAAAAGTCTGTCGGGCCAGCCCAAGTTGACTGCTCCATTCCAGTGACAGAAGGTCACTGAAGAAACCGGGAGAAGTGGCCCTCACCCTACATTCCACAGTGACAGAAGGTCGCTGAAGAAACCGGGAGAAGTGGCCCTCACCCTACATTCCACAGTGACAGAAGGTCGCTGAGCAAACCGGGAGAAGTGGCCCTCACCCTACATTCCACAGTGACAGAAGGTTGCTGAAGAAACCGGGAGAAGTGGCCCTCACGCTAGGGCTCACTCCACTATGCTCCGGGCCTCCCCAGCGCTCATCTCACTGAGCCAGCTGTGAGGTCTCTGCCTCCGTCCTTCCTCCATAGGCCACACAGGCCCGTGGTCCTTGCCGTGACAGCTTGCCTCGCCAGCTCCCATAGCCCGCACCTTACACCATCCCAGAGAAATCTGGAGCTCTGTCCTGTGACCCCAGAGCTTCCTCATCTTCCCCAAAGGTGGGCGGAGTGCGGGGGTGAGAGGGTGGGGCCCAGGAAGAGTGCGGGGGTGAGAGGGCGGGGTCTCTGGCGGTACCTAGGTTGACAGTTGGACTGAAGTTGTTCCCAGCCAGGAAGCAGCGGCTGTCAGTGAAGGCTGGGGGGCAGGTGCACATGGGCTGACAGCCCAGAGTCTGGGAGATGTAGCAGTGGCCTTGATTGTAGCAGTAATTCACAGGGCAGGACTGGTTCTGACACAGGAAAGAGCTCCCCAGAGCTGCAGAGTGAGTAGGGAGGTCAGCAGCAGCGCGCAGGGCAGCAGAGGGACGGCCCAGCCCGTGGAAACCCGCTCCGGGACAGGCTTGCTTTCCCCCAGTGTTCCACTTCGGGCCACTCGGAACCCCAAACCATCCTTCCCCCCTTTTCCAGGCGTTTCTCTGCAGGGCAACCCCTTTCCCCGGCCAGACAGGTATTCTTCCACTTTTGTGGAGGGACTGGAGTGTTTCTCAGACCCTCTGCTTCAGAAAGGACCCCGAAGGCTGGCAGAGGAGGGGCCCCCAGCTGGCTTTCCTCACGCCCTCCCCTCTCACGTCCATCTCCTTTTCTGCCTTTATAAAAGCTGCGGTTCTACCCACTCTGGCCTCGGCTCTGAAGGCACAGTGATCTGTAGATTTTATTTGGGTGCCTTAGGGGGCTTGGTAAAGGCCTCGCTGTGATCTCCCTCATCAGACTCTGGTGACTCAGAGCGGGAGGAACAGATGGCTGGGAGGACTCAAAGGGAAAATCAGGCACCTTTGCTGCCGGATCCCCACGCCAGCCCCTCCAAACGTCCTGACTCGTGAGATGCAGAGATCCTGAGCCTCGTGTCTCTGAAGATCCCCAGGGATCCCGAGGACCCAGCTTGCCCGGTTCTCTGGCGGCTGCTGAAGTCTCCTCCCCAAACCATCTTCAGTCTTTCGCCCGGGGCTCCCCCCATCAATGCCTCAGGGATGCCCAGCCCCGTCCCCTCCCCTATGCCTGTACAACCTCTTCTCCTTCAGCCCCACACCATCCACCACCCCCTTTCCAGGCCTGCCTAGATTTCCCATACCTGCCTAGATGATTTCCCACACCTGCCTAGATTTCCCACACCTGCCTAGATTGAGCATTCTAAAGATCTGCTGGAAAAAGGAGAGAAATGGTTTGCCTTTGGCTGTCTACACCCTTGAGCTATCAGCTGCTCCCAGAAGCGCCTGCTCCAGGCCCTGTTCCCGGCTCACCCGCACAGTGCCGCCCATCCCCAGTCAGGTTTGGAGGGCAGGCCTCGCAGCCCTTCCCAGGAACGCAGTGGACACTCGGGAAGCACGGCTCCTCACAGGCATCCTCGGAGCCCTCGCAGTAGCGGCCGAAGGTGCCCCCGTCACACTTGCAGCCAGCCACCTGGAGGAGGGTTGCCGATCACGGGCGGCCAGGAGACCAAACTGGGAAGGGCTTCTGGGTGTTTCTGACTGACCCCTTTGGCCTGAGAACCCGTGGACCCTGAGTCATGTCTCAGCCCCACCAGCACCTGCTGAGCACCTTCTTGACCAGGCCGTGGGGCGGCAAGGCCCTGCCTAAAGCCACACGGTAGTCCTGCCCAGCTGGCCTCCCTGGGTCATTGTTTACCCTGACCCCCTGCCTGGCCCTGCACCAGGATCTCAGCCTCTTCCCTCTCACACTCTAGCTCTTTGCCTGAAATCCTTTCTAGAGTAAGATGGGGGATGCATGAATGATTGAAGCATGAATGAATGAATGAATGTATCCATGTATAGATGTATGTATCCATGTATGTATGTATCCATGTATGTATGTGTGTATCCATGCATGTATGCATGTATGTATCCATGTGTGTATCCATGTGTGTATGTATCATGTATGTATCCATGTAGATATGTATCAATGTATGTATCCATGTATGTATCCATGTATGTATGTGTGTGTCATGCATGTATGCATGTATCCATGTATGTATCCATATGTGTGTATCCATGTGTGTATGTATCCATGTGTGTATGTATCCATGTATGTCCTATTGCTTGAAAACTGGATTCCTTATTTATTTTGAGACAGGGTCCCACTCGGTTGCCCAGGCTGGAGTGCAATGTCTTGATCTTGGCTCACTGCAAACTCCACCTCCCAGGTTCAAGCCATCCTCCCACCTCAGCCTCCCGAGGAGCTGGGGCTACAGGCATGCACCACCACGCCCACTAATTTTTGTATTTTTCTTCTGCTTTTTTTTTTAATGAGACAGTCTCGTTCTGTTTCCCACGCTGCAGTGCAGTGTCTCGATCTCGGCTCACTGCAATGTCCCCCTCCCAAGTTAAAGCAATTCTTGTGCCTCAGCCTCCCAAATACTTGAGATTACAGGCATATGCCACCACGCCCAGCTAATTTTTTGATTTTTAGTAGAGACAGGGTCTTGCCATATTGCCCAGGCTGGTCTCAAAGTCCTGAGCTCAAGCAATCCGCCTGCCTCAGGCTCCTATGTGGCCTGCAAACTGGATTTCATATAAGCTGAAATTGACCTCCCTTGCTGACTCCCAAACCAAGAAGACAGAGCCTCCCTGCTGAGCACTGTGAGAAAACACAGCAGCCAGTACAGCAGCTCAGCAAAGGCTGCGGCGCCGAGACCTCACCAAGCTCCCTGCGCTCCCCTTTCTAACTCCCTTACTGAAGCGACTCGGGGAATCTCCCTAAAATGGAATCCTCTAACACTTGCTACTCCCAAGAGTGGATATTTGGGGATCTGTGGAATAGTATATTGATTTCAATCTCTTTTTCCCATTGTGTATTTTATGCTTTTCTACCCCCTACCCCACCAACCGTCCCTACCTCTATCCCTTTCGAGTACCCATTCTCTGCTCATGCTTCAGAAGGATGTGTGTGTGTGTCTGTGTGTGCGTGTGCATGCGTGTGTGTGTAAGTGGTGAAGGAGGTAGTTTTGTGTTGCCAGATAAACACTTTCCTTTCTGGCTCTTCCTTTACAACCAAAAATAAAAATAAAAAAGCAGATAGGACAAGAGTCGTGGAATTAGGCCAAGTATCTTGGCTAGAAACATGGAGAAGTAGTTTCTCCAAACTGGAAAAGATGTTTCTTTTAGCTGGAAGGAGATAGTAAAAGAGAAAGCAAAGGGGCTTGGAGGTGTCAAGATAGAGGGACCCGCAGCTCTCTTCCCAGCACCGTGATGATGACATCCTAGGGAGAAATGACTGTGGGGTGCTTCTAGGCAGACAGGACTGTAAGCGGCCTCAGAAAAGGTGTCCTGTGTCTGAGCAAGGCACAGAAGCAGCAGAGCCTCTCCCTGGGTCTGAAGGGGAAGTGGGGCGGAGCTGTGATGGAAACCTGTGTGGACTCACGCCCAGGGACCCACAACCACCTTCCACCCCACACCGCAGGGCCCTCTGCTGGGCTTCGCCGCAGAGCTGTGGGGCGCTGTGAGAAAGACGGAGGTGGAAGTTTCCTGCCAACCTGGCAGAAGGGGAGGTGGGAGATAAAAATCCAGTTGAACTATAAGCAATAAAGTAAGGTTCTTTCCTCTTTCCTTCCTTCCTTCCTTTTTCTTTCTTTCGTCCTTCTTTTTCTCCAATATAGTTTCTTTCTTTCTTTCTTTTTCTCCTTTCCCTTTCTTTCCTTTCCTTTCTTTCCTTTCCTTTCTTTCCCTCCTTCTTTCTTTCTTTTCTTTTCTTTTCTTTTCTTTTCTTTCTTTTTGACATAGAGTCTCACTCTGTTGCCCAGGCTGGAGTACAATGGCGCAATCTTGGCTCACTGTAACCTCCACCTCCCGGGTGCAAGCGATTTTCCTGCCGCAGCCTCCCGAGTAGCTGGGACTACAGGCGCCTGCCACCACGCCCAGCTAATTTTTGTATTTTTAGTAGAGATGGGGTTTCACCATGTTGGTCAGGATGGTCTCGATCTCCTGACCTTGTGATCCGCTTGCCTCAGCCTCCAAAAGTGCTGAGATTAAAGGCGTGAGCCACTGCACCCGGCCAGAAAGTTCTCTTTCTTCCCATGTGAGTTTGTGGCCTGAGACTGGAATCTGCTCTACTCACCTACCACTGCTCCACCCATCTCCCAACACAGACACACCCAGGACAGGCAGAATCACAGCATCCATTCCACTCCCATTTCCTCTCCCCTCGGCACAGAAACTCCTCCCCCACCTCCCAACACTCACCTCCAGGGAGGAGTTGCCCACCCTGCTGGTCTGATTGTACAAACACTGGCTCTCTGCATTGCAATGGCAGACCACAGTCCTGGGCTGGAGTGCAGATGCCAAGCCAATCTTGGCACTTCTTGCTAGAATCTCCAGAGTGAATGGCTCCAGCGACTTGGGTGTCCACAGCAACGTCCCATTCTCTGCCCCGGGGAAGATGAGAATGTTGAGAGCTGGGAGACTCCTCGGCTCTGTGGTCTGATTGCTGATACGGGGCTTCCCCCACCCCTCTCAGGCCACCCTCCCCCTCCCCAGACAAATCTCATTGGTCATTTCCTTTGAGCAAGGCTGGTATCGGGGGTGATCCTGGTCACGCTCCCAGCTGGAAGGACGTGGCACCAGTCCAACATACTGATTGTAGCGGGGAACGCCACAGAGGGGAAAGCAGTTTCCTCCTGAAGAAACCCCAAAGGGCAGCCCTGGCTGGGCTCACACCAGGATGGGACATCCTGGGGGATGGAGGATCAAGGCCAGGATCCTCCAGACACCTCCCCAGGCTGCGCTGCCGGCCAAACTGGCTTCACTCTCACGGCAGCCCCATCCTTTGCCCTGATTTCTCACCCACCCCCCACTTCCTGGACCTTTCCCAGACACCCCCTTCAGACACCAGACTGTAGTGAAACACTACTACATATCTTCAGATCAAACTGATATTTTTCAAGAAAATAGGAAAGTCTCCTTAAAACAGCAGATTGAAAGGAAGTGACAGAGAATAGACGAACGTAATTTCCAGACCATCGTCCTTCAGGGGTGGGGCCCGTGGAGAAGAAAACCTCTCAGTGCCATTGTCTCGCACCTGGGAGGACGCACATGGGGCAAAAGGGATGCAGGCAAAGCAGTCCCTTCTGAGACACAGAGAGAAAGAACATCAGGCAGAGAGGCAAAGAGAACGCAAAATATGCCCCCCGGGGCTTTGGTTTAGCCAAGAACAGTCACCCTCAGAATTAGTGCTGGCAACAGACAGAAAGTGGCATCCCTTTGATGCCCTTGGACCCTTTGAATTAGTGCTGGCAACAGACGAAAGCAGCGTCCCTTGTGCTTGGAGCCTTTGGCCCTGATCATGGATGTAGGGCTCGGGGTCTCTAACACCTTTACGGAGAGGGAGCGATGGCACTCTACTGGGTCCTAGCCCAGGAAACCAGACAAGGAGAGACACGGCTAGGTAAACATGGTTGCCAGACAAAAAGAGCAAGAAAGGTACCAAACGAAAGTATTTTTCATATTTCTTTAAATCTTGTCCTACATTAGAGCCTTCCTTTAATAGATATAAAAATGTTGTAAATTGGTCATTTTAAATGTTGCACTTGATTATTCTAATAATTTGGTGAATGCATAATGACTAAAGATGACTATATATGATCAGATTGAGATTAAATGATCTTCAAATCTTTTTTTTGAGACAGAGTCTCGCTCTGTCACCAGGCTGGAGTGCAGTGACGCGATCTCAGCTCACTGCAACATCTGCCTCCTGGGTTCAAGCGATTCTCCTGCCTCAGTCTCCTGAGTAGCTGGGATTACAGGCATGCACCACCATGCCTGGCTTTTTTTTTTTTTTTTGTATTTTTAGTACAGACGGGGTTTCACCATGTTGGCCAGACTGGTCTCGAACTCCTGACCTCAGATGATCCGCCCACCTCGGCCTCCCAAAGCGCTGGGATGACAGGCATGAGCCACCGCGCCCAGCCTTGAATCAGTTCTATGTGCCCAGAGTCACTCTAGCTATCTGGCCAAACCGCCGTAAGCCCGTCACTACTACTTACTGGGGGGCACCTATTTGAGTTATAGATATCGCTCCTCGGAAATGCCGGTCCTGGATATTCAAATGAAAGAGTGACAGCAAGTGTTGCTGGGTGTAGCAATGCAGAATTTCCCAAATTTGACTCTGACCTCATCCCCTACCCACCTCCCCACTCTCCCCAGCCAGCCAAATAGTCCTACCAAAGAGCTCCAAGTCGGTGCAGCTGTCTCTGAGCGTGAAGTTGGCATCCTCAGCATTGCTGGTGTACTGAATCAGCGTGGTCTGCCCCTTGTAGGCTTCAATCACACGACCACCATTGATGGAGGGCGGGTACTGATCTGAAACACAAAGAGGGAATGGGGGTTCCGAGGCAGGACAGTCTCCTGCTTTATCAGCCTCCTCTCTTTCTCAACTCTAATATGTGTGAGGCATTCCCAGGACTGTGACCCACCTCTGGAAGAAGGAATTATTCTGTGTACCTGCTCTCGACTGACGCACAGCAGGCTGGGACTGTACTGCCCACCTAGCCAAATCTTTAGCCTCTTTCTCTCCCCCCACCTCCTCAAAAAGAGCTCCTTTCAGATTCTTTCCTGAACACAGTGCTATGCTGGGTATGACAAAAAGTGAATTAGAGAGCAGATTTGTTTGGACCATTACAAAGGGTTGTACCCTTAGACCAAAGGGTTGTACCTTTGGCAAAGGGCTGAAAACCTGAAGGGTGCTGGGTGTCTCATGTCTGTAATCCCAGCACTTTGGGAGGCCGAGGCCGGTGGATAACCTGAGGTCAGGAGTTCGCGACCAGCCTGACCAACATGGTGAAACCCTGTCTCTACTAAAAATACAAAATTAGTCAGGCATGGTGGCGGGTGCCTGTAATCTCAGCTATTCAGGAGGCTGAAACAGAAGAATCGCTTGAACCCGGGAAGCAGAGGTTGCGACGAGCCGAGATCACGTCACTGCACTCCAGCCTGGGCAACAAGAGCGAAACTCCGTCAACACACACACACACACGCACAAAACCTGGAGGGTCACATCTAAAGGGACATTGCATTTGTCCAGAAATAGAGAGGGAGTGAAACCTCTTCACGGGTCTGTTTCTCGGAGCCCTGCCATTTCCATTTCATAGTTGCTTCACACATTCATTCAGTCAGTCATTTAACAAACATTTATTGAGCTAAGTGGCTGGCACTGTTCTGGGTGGTGAGGATACAGTCATGAATGAATAATTAAAAAGATACCTGTGAAAATTATAAAATATGTTGAGTAATTATAAATGCTAAGGAGAAAAAAATAAAGCAGGGAAGGCAAACATGAAGTGTGGGTGAATGTGACATTTTAGACAGGGCGGCCAAGAGAGGCCTCACCAAGGAGGGGACATTGGAATGAAGACGTAAAGAAGGTGAGGGGCAAGCGTGTGGCTGTCCAGGGAAGGAAGGGTATTCCAGGCAAGAGAACAGCACGTGTGAAGCCTGGGAGCTGAGCGCACCTAGCGTGTTTGAAGAACACAGAGGAGCCTGCGGGGCTGGAGTGCAGGGAGCTGGGAAGGGGTCCAGCGCTAGGATGGAGTGGAGGGGGCTGGGAAGGCATCCAGCGCTAGGATGGATGGAGGGGGCTGGGAAGGGGTCCAGCGCTAGGATGGAGTGGAGGGGGCTGGGAAGGCGTCCAGCGCTAGTATGGAGTGAAGGGGGCTGGGAAGGCATCCAGCGCTAGGATGGACGGAGGGGGCTGGGAAGGCGTCCAGCACTAGGAGAAGAGCTCTGAGAAGCTGAACTGGGCCGAAGGCCACTGCAAGGATGGAGAGAGCCAGGGAAGTCTCTGAAGGGTTTGAGCAGAGGAATGCCAGGAGTGGAAGAATCTGCTCAGTGAATGCAGATGCACAGGGAAAAGCAGGGTCAGGCAAGGGCAGCTCCTCATCTGCTCCCGACTCTGAAAAGGCCTCCCCAGGCCTCGGGCCACTTACTGAGGGTGGCGTTCGCCTGCTCGTAGTTTTTACTGACTTCCCTCGTGTGAAGTCCGATGCTTGCGTTGCGCAGGGCCAGGGTGTCATAGATGCATGAGCTATCTCCGTCACAGTTGGAGATCAAATGTTCAGCCCAGGAGCTGTTTTTTTGCAGTTGTGAGTAGAAAACAGGGGTGAAGTTGGAAGGCAGCTGGTCATTCCTCTTGCCAAGGAGGCCTGTCCCGTTGATCTGCCCTGTAACACACAGAGCGCGGTGGTACCAGGCATGGCACTCAGCCTTATTCCATCTGTGTCCACCTCTACCCCTCACTTTAGATGGCTTGGAGCGGGGCGGTGGGAGTGCAGGGCCAGAGCGGTTTCCAGCTTCTGAGTCTAGAAACACCTGCTGCAGTGAGAGAGGACACTCCACGTCCCCCATTCTCTCCTCCAGGTAGAGAGAGGCAGGTGGGCTGGTGGTGGTGGGGACAGCCCTGGGGGGGCACAGATTCCTCAGACCTTAGGGAGGATGGAGGTCTGCTTCCTACAGGGCCGAGGGGGACGACATAAACATACCGGCTCCCCTCACCTGCCCCTCTGCCCCAGGACCCTGCCCAGACTCACAGGTCATTCCAAAGTGGAAAAGCATCTCCTCAGGGCTCCCTGGGGGAATGGTGGAGCCATTGGGCATCCTGAAGTCGTCCTCTGGATTGTTATTCCAGACCCCTGAGGGACAGAGTGGGAGGTTGGCCACCCTGGGCACGCGGCTGTCCCCTTCCTGGGGAGCATCCGGCGGACGCAGTGGGGAGAGGCCAGGGCCTGGCAGCCTCTGCTCTTGCACCTGCTGTCAGGCCTCCAGGGGAGCCGGGAGGACGGGCCCTCACACCCTGCCCGTCTGCCTTCGGGAGGGGCGGGAGGAAACGCGGGCAGCGGTGGAGGAGGGCGGGAGGATGTGGGAGGCAAGAGGAAAGGGAGAAAGGATGGCTGTGCCCCCCGCCTCCCCGCAGCCCCCCCTGATGCTCCCTTAGAGCGGGCGGAGGACAGGAAGGGAGCCTCGGGGGAGGCTGGAGAAGCCCCTCGGCTCCCGGCCCGCTCTGTGCCCCAAGGGTTCTGCTCCAAGGAGGCGGAGAAAGGGAGGCCGAGCAGGGCTGCCCGGGCCGCCGGCGTGGGGGTCCGAGCTCCGGCTGGCTCCGCGGAGCCTCAGAGGCAGGTCCGAGCCGCCCTCACCCAGGAGCCCCTCCGTGCGGTTCTGGTACTCGGGCGGGAGGCTGGCGGAGGCGTGGAGGATGTTGGAGAGCGCGATCACCGAGACGGTGGCCCAGCCGTCGAAGCTGGCCGAGACCTCAGAGCCGTTGCGGCTCAGGAGGACTCCGGTGGCGTTGAACGTCTCCTGGCCTGGAGCATCGGGAGGCAGCGGAGAGGAAGCCAGGTCGGCACCACGGCCCGCACCAAACCCGCGCCCTGCCGGGCCCGCACCACCCCCACCCCGCCCCTGGGGCTGAAGCCGGGAGGGGTCTGCACTGGAGGCGGAGAAGAGGCCGGCGAGCTGCACGCCCCGCTCGGGGGTAGAGGCTGCGCTCTCTTGGCCCTGCACCGCCACGCACCGGGCCCTGCACCGCCACGCACCGGGCCCGGCACCACAACGCACTCGGCCCTGCACCGCCACGCACCGGGCCCTGCACCGCAACGCACCCGGCCCTGCACCGCAACGCACCGGGCCCTGCACCGCCACGCACCCGGCCCTGCACCGCCACGCACCCGGCCCTGCACCGCCACGCACCGGGCCCTGCACCGCCACGCACCGGGCCCTGCACCACAACGCACCCGGCCCTGCACCGCAAAGCACTCGGCGCGGCACCGCCACGCGCCCGGCCCTGCACCACAACGCACCCGGCCCTGCACCGCCACGCGCCCGGCCCTGCACCGCAACGCGGCTTCCCGCCCACCTCGCTGCTCCCGGTGCGGGGAGGGGGCGGCCGGCGCTCCCCAACCTACCTCCGCCGTCTTCATGGTCAGGCTGAAATGTCACAGTCTGGTTATCCAGCAGGACACGGATTGCGTCGTGAGGCTCAAGGAGCCATTGGACCTGGAAGGAGATGGGAGGGGGCCTGAGCCCGACCCGCAGGTGGAGCCGACGCCCAGGAAAGCAGCTGGGAGAGCCCCTGGGGCTGGAAGCTGCGCCCTGGGCCGGGAGGAAGGCGCTGGAGGCCGCGGCCTGAGGTGATGCCAGCCGCCGTCTACCGTGTGCTCGGCAGGGCCAGGCATGGTTTTCGGATTATGCCCTTTAGCTCTTACAACAGCCCGTGAGGCAGGTAATGTCATCCCCATTCTTACTAGGAGAAAACCAAATTAAGTAGTTTCTTCGAAGCCAAGCAGCTGGGAAACCGTGGGGCCAGAGCCCTAATCCACCATCCCCAGGATTTACTCCGGGACAGCTGCGTGGATGGGCTGTGTCCTCCCTCCCTCCTGCCCGGCTTCCCCTCCTTCGCTCTCTTCCTTCTCCTCGGCCTCAGTATGTGGCTGAAGGTCCCTGTGGGTGGAATGCAGGGAGGTTCCCGGCACCCCTCACTCACCGTGACGGGGCCCAGGCTGCTGGAGCGGTACTGAGCCGCAAAGGCGATGAAGTTGGTGGCCTGGGCTGAGCCAGTCTGGGCGGTGCGGCCCTGAAGCAGGAAGGAGGAGTTCCCGTCTTGGGCCCCGACCAGCAGGAAGTCCCCCAGCCCATTGAAGGTGTAACTGACACCATCCAAGGTGGTGATGTGGGGGTCCCCGAACATCCAGGCTGGAAGGAAAAAAGAGATGCTGCCTCAGCATGACAAATCATGTGTAGGGCTGAGGTTCCTCACTGCAGTCAGGTGCGGCACTTGTCCAGGAGGACTCAGGGTGAGGTTCCTCACTGCAGTCGACTGGGGCACTTGTCCGGGCGGACTCAGCTGGGGAGATGTTCACAGAGCACAGAATCCTCCCCTCAAGCCTCCTTGCATTTTCGTGCCCCGCTATTCTCACTCCTTCCCCAACTCAGGTACAAAGCCCCTCCACTGACCATCCACCCATCACTGGCGTCATCTCCATCTTCCCTTGTGGCCACAGCTCTGCCCCTACTCCTTATCCAGATGCCACCTCCCGGAAGCCCAGAAGCTCCCCCTCCCCAGAGGCTCTTCCTGGGCCTGGGCCCTGTCGCTCACCGGGCTGTGGGGGCCTGTATGTAGCACAGCCCACGTGGGGCCGCCTCTGCTGGTACAGGGCACAGAGGTAGGGCTTGTCATTCCAGCGGCAGCACCAGCTCTGTGGCTCCAGTTCCTGGGCTGCGGAGAACAGCAGTGAGTCGGGGAGGTTGAGGACCTGGAGAAGCTTGGCAGGGCAGGGTGGTGTTGGTTGAGAGCTTGGCAGGGCAGGGCGGTGTTGGTGGAGAGCTTGGCAGGGCAGGGCGGTGTTGGTGGAGAGCTTGGCAGGGCAGGGCGGTGTTGGTGGAGAGCTTGGTAGGGCAGGGCGGTGTTGGTGGCAAGAGCATGGCTTTGGAATCCAGCATGGCCCTTCTCATGACCTTGGGCAGTGAATAGGGTGCTGTCTCTTTTGCAGGCATTGGGGCCACTGTGCAGCAGGGCGCATGGTAGGAGCTAAGCAAATTTCCTGTCTTGAGGGTGGAGAGCCAAGTACTGCTGCTCTCAACGTGCTGGGAGTGGGGAGGGCACGGCTGACGGTCTGGGAACTGTGGAAACTGCCATGGGACGGGGGAGAGAACGGGAGGACACAGACCACGTGACCCCACACCCCTGCGCTCTCCAGCTCCCTTGGAGCGTCTCTGTGGGAGCTGACTCTCAGTCTTCCCCCAAACATCCTGCTCATCTGGGTCTACAGGGACGGGGTCAGCCTAGGCGCTCTCTTCTTGCCTGGAGAAATGGCCCCACTCTGGCCTGGGGATGTGGAGCCAGGTATAGAGATGAGGAAAGAGGCTCTCAGCTCATACATCCCCGAATGTCCGCTGGTGGGGATGTTGGAAGCTTCCTAACGTTACCCGATCAGGAAGTGGAGGCCCAGAGAGGGGAAGGGTCTGGGAAGGAATGAGGACGAGAGGCTTCATGCTGAGGGTCCCCTACTTGGCCGGGAAGGTGGGGTTGAGATCACGGACTCACGCACCCAACTGCCAAGGACGCTGCACGTGCCAGCCTTCACGAAACTCTCCCCAGGGCCCGTAGCTGCAGCACACGCCTCCTCGCCAAGAGGTGAAGCTGCACAGCTGCCTACTGCCGAGGCCCCAGCGACCTGAAACAAGTCCAGTCCCACTCAGGCCCAGGCTGGGGCTGCCAGGGGCGGGGTGGGAACAAGCAGGGGCTGTTTCTGGGGAGAGGCTGAGGGCGTGAGCAGAGAGGGTGGTGGGTGGGCTTGTGGGGGGCGGGAAGGAGGTGTCACCTATGCTGACGGGTTGGAATCGTAAGTCCCGTCGTCCCTGCTGCCAGGAACAAGGGCAGGAGACCTGGTTCCAGCCCCAGCTGGGCCACCGAGGCTGGCTCTTCAGCCACTGCAGGCACTCGAGACGGTAGTTGGGCCTTTCTTCCCGGTGTAGCCTGTAGAACTGCAGCCCTTGGAGGCCTGAGGTCGGGGATGGGGGGGAAAGGGCTTATCCAGGGCTGGGGCTGCAGGCCCTGTCTCAGCTTTAGGGTCAACCAAAACTCACAAATGCACCCCCTCCTGCCACTTCTCACCTCTTTGGACCCAAGTCAGATGGGCAACAATTCCTCCCCCAAAGCCCCTCGCTTGACTTAGCGTCTGCTTCTGACGACCAAACGTGGTTGCCACAGAACAAATAGAACTGGATTTACACTTCACAGTTCACGTGGCTGGTTTCTAAGGCTAAAATGTCCTTCAACCTATCACATTTTGGAAACTATTATTTCTTTCCCATTGGGGCCTCTGGACTGAGTCATGGAGAAGGCGCCATTGTTTGCCTCTTGACGCTTGTCTTTCTACCCGCATGAAAGCTCTTTGAGAGAAAACACAGTTGGTCTTTTTCCTTTGTTTCTGGCTGTTAGCACGGTGTCCAGCACACGGCAGGTGCCCAGTAAATGATGACAATGAACGTGAGACCCCCGGGCCTCTTCTTGGTGGATTCTCTCTTTTTGAGATGGAGTCTCACTCTGTCACCCAGGCTGGAGTGCAGTGGCGCGATCTCGGCTCGCTGCAACCTCCACCTCCCAGGTTCAAACAATTCTCCTGCCTCAACCTATTGAGTAGCTGGAATTACAGGTGTGCACCACAACGTCTGGCTAATTTTTGTATTTTTAGTAGAGACAGAATTTCACCATGTTGGCCAGGCTGGTCTCGAACTCCTGATCTCAAGTGATCCGCCCACCTCAGCCTCCCAAAATGCTGGGATTACAGGTGTGAGCCATGGCGCCCAGCCGGTAGATTTTCTTAAAGGATCTCACCTGGGTTCTCATTCCTGCTCTGGACAGGACACTTGGAGTATTGTCTGAACTGCCCATTCAAATCCCACCTCCCACAAGACCCTGTCCTCACTTCCAGGATCTGGGCCCCCCGAGAGCCCTCTTGGGCTGGTTCATCTGAGGGAGGAGATGTAGCCCCCTCTGAGACTGTGCTGTGTCCAGGGGTGCAGGAGGTGCCAGCTGCTCCCTGGGTGGTGCCACATCCCACCTAGACCTGTAGGAGGTTGAACTGTGTGGGGGAGGCCCTTCAGGATGGCCGTGATGTTAGGGAGGTGCCCTCTAGGACTGCGATGGTGTATGGGCTGGAGGACACGCGAGGGCTTGAGACCAGCTCAGGTGTGATAAGGTGGCACTTTTACCTGAGTTGGAATTCAGGAATCTATCAGGGCGATACCTCTCCCACACTGGCTGGGACATCAGTGGGCTGTTTTCGAAATAGCCATCTCCACTGCAGGAAAGGAGAGACTCTCAGGCCTCTGCCGTGCACAGGCTCTTGCCTCGCGGTTGCAAGGCGTCCATTCATCCCGCTAGCCGGTCAGCAGCTGGTCAACCAGCTAGGCGGGCAGTGGGTCAGTGGGTCAGCCAGCCCCCATCGTCAAGCCCCAGCACTGAGCAGGAGAGGGGACAAGATGGCTGGGCAGAGGTAGGAGGCTCTAACCGATTCCACATCTGATCGCTAGCTGCAAGAAACTGGCAGGTCCGCTTGGTCATGAGACAGGGGCGTGAAAACAACAGAGTTCAGGCCTCATTTCTGTTTGTTTCCCTTCAACAAGCAGAGGGTTTGGAGCGGGACAGACTCTAGGGACAGTGTATTGTGATGGTTAAGACCCAGTTTCTGGAGTTAGGCAGTGATGGATTCAACTGCTGATCCCCCCACTTACTAGCTTGGTGACCACAGACAAGTTACTGACCCTCTCTGATTCTTAGTTTTCACATCTGTATAAAAGGGATTACAGTGGCATCTACCTCACTGTATTGTGAGGATTAAATGCAGTAACATCTGCAAATCCCTCAGAACTGAGTGAGGCCTTGATACAACAGATGCTGCCACTGCTGCTACCACCACCACCACCATCGCCAGCACTACCACCACCACCACCATCATCGTCACCACCAACACTACCATCACCATCACCATCACCACCACCACCACCAACACTACCACCACCATCACCATCACCACCACCATCACCATCACCACCACCATCACCATCACCACCACCATCGCCACCACCATCATCACCATCACCATTACCATTGCCACCACCATCACCACCACCATCACCACCACCACCATCATCACCATTGCCACCACCATCACCACCATCACCACCACCATCGCCACCACCACCACCACCACCATCACCATCACCACCATCACTGGCCACCCCCCAAAAAATACCACCATCGGCCACCACCACCATCACCACCACCATCACCATCGCCACCACCACCATCACCACCACCACCACCATCACCACCATCATTGCCACCACCATCATCACCACCATCACCACCACCACCACCATCACCACCACCACCATCGCCACCATCACCCCCAACACCACCACCATCACCACCATCACCACCACCATCACCACCATCACCATCGCCACTGCCACCTCCACCGCCACTACCACCACCACCACCACCACCACCACCACTATCGCCATCACCGTCCCCAGGTGTGGGGTCCGAGCATGGCCCGGGAAGGAGGAAAGCCTGGAGCAGCCGCCTGCAGCCCCACCCTGGGTGCCTGCTGCAGAGTGGGGACTCTTGGGCTTTTCCTCCTCCCTGACACAAGCAGGATGATGCACCCCTGCGTGACACCTTCCTTGGGTGTACCTGGACCGTGTGAAATTCCTAGAGTTGGGTAATTCCCCTCCTTTCTCCTTCATAGCACACCAAGAAACTAGTGAAAGCAGTGTAATCAAAGGGGTAACCTGAACACACTCAATGTAAGAGAAGACATTTGCAGCAATTATCAAGAACAAAAGACATGTGGCCTTCGTACTGATTGCCACACCCCAGCATATGGGAACAGAGATGGCGCACTGCTACATCGGAGACAGCCTCCCACACACGGGAATCCACATTTCAACCGCCCACAGCCCCGTGCCTCCTCTCTCCCTTCACCACCGGCTCCATATAAGCTTTTGGGTGCCCCCTGGATAAGTGGGTAATTCTCAGGAAGTCAGGAAGGCAGATTCTAGCCTCAGATGTCTGGGTTCAAATCTCCATGTTGCCACTTCCCAGCTCTGGGACTTTAGGCAAATTGCTAGTCTATTTGTATCTCAGTTTCCTGATCTGTAGAATGGGGATGATAAATAGTATCTGCCTCGTGGGGTGGCTGTGATCATGACATGCAGTAATGTACACGAAGTGTTAGTGTCATCAGTCTTGGCTGTTATTATCACGATATTTGAGAAGGTAAGAGAGGCCAGCTAATGTCAGTGGAAATCAGGGAAGCCAAAGCTCTGGGAATGATTACAACTCACGGGGACTGGGATGGGAAAGGGCATGGCGGACAAATGGGTGATCTTGTCGTGGGAAGCAGCCAGATGCCTGGCCCCAGCGGGAGCTGGAGTCAGCGTGAGTCAGAAGCACCAGCCAGGAGGGTTCCCGCCTTGCCCCAGGATGGGAGTGTGTGTGCAGCGAAAGCCGACTCTACACCCCTCCCTGCCAACTGCTCAGTGCTGACAGCCCCTCCCATCCTACCTAGAGAAGCCCATGAGCACCGGGTTGCCTGAGCGCTGGGCCACGTCCCACTGCATCCCACCGCTCTGGTAGAGAAACAGGGCATAGGACCTGCTCCCGTCCGTGGAGAGGATGGCTTGGTAGGTGTTGCTCTGGGGGTGGGTGGAAGAAAACACAGGGATGCCCGTGAGAGATCCGGGGTCTCCTCTCTTATGTCCCCCCGCCCGTCCCACAGCCCTGCTCTGACACGCACAGCACCTGTTCCTGGTCTGCCCACAGCAAAGACATGGGCCCAAAATGCTGGCAAGTTTTGGGTCAGTGAGGGCAGCTTTCACCCTGGGTGCGAACGCACTTACCACGGTGGATTTGCCTTTTGGTGACTTTCTTCCAGGAGGGGAGATAAAGGGTTCTGGGTTACAATTCAGTTAGATGAGTGTTTGTTAGAGAAAGCTACCAGAACCTGAGATCAGCCAAGATACCAGAGAGCTAGAGAGGAGGCTTCATTAGCTCCCGCGCGGATATTTAAGGACATTGCCCAAATTGTCTCCTCCATCTAAACAGCATGGATGACACTGGGGTTCACTGAAGGCGCACACGTTGTCCACAGTAGGTGACCAGTGAACTTTTGTCGAGTGAATGAAGAAATGAGTGACTTTAGACCAGGCATAAGGAAGAACTTGGTGACTACAAGAGCGGGGTCCTCGGAGGGAGGACAGAGGAGATGGTGTGGCGCACCCTGTGCCCGTTGGATGAGCCTGTGCTTCAGAGCCAGAGGCTGGAGTCAGAAGAAGCTCCACTCAGGCCTGGCTTTGCCATTTGCCAGTGGCGTGACTCTGAACGAGTTACTTAACCTCTCTAACCATTGTCTTCCTCATCTGTAAAATGGGGAGCATAATACCAGACTGAGCCACGTGAAATTGTGAATAGCCAGACATTTTTGACTTACAAAAATGCCACTTGCTATGTTTCAGCCTAATAATACCCGGTTTGCTGGGCTGCTGTGAGGTCAAGTAGGCAAAGGGCCGAGACAGGCCGGGCCCACGGTGAGTGCTCAGCCAACAGTGGTGGCAGTGGGGGGGTGGCGGTGGGGGGGCTTGCTATAATTAGCAATCTTTCCTAGAGCCAGAGAGGATTTTGGAAGAGTGGCCCCTGCCTAGGATTCTAGGATGTCTGACTCCCAGATAGCTCCTGGGAGCTGCCCAGGGGTCTACTCACCCCGAGGGTCCACTGGGCAGGATAGGCGTGGGCATTGACCCACGTGACCTTTAGGGCCCACCTGGCCTTGTAGCCCCCGTTGTTTGTCATCTTTCTAATCCAAGACTCGGCCTGCTGGACTAGCAGGCTGTGTTCACCATAGAACGTCTCGTATTCCTAGGAAAGGAGGGCAGATGAAAACAAGCCAACGAGGGTCCCACTCCTACACATGGGCCCCCCACTTTCTGCCTGAGGACCCTGCCCACTTCAGCCCACCCAATGGCCTGCCCTCCCCTGTCCCAGGCCTGCATTTTTGCCGTGAGCTTTTCTGAGGTGAAGTTCAATTCAAACTTGGGCTGCAGGAAGGCCTGCAGTGTGCAGAATGCAGGGTCGTGGCCCAGACGTCCAAGACCTCTGGACTTGAACTCAAGCATCTTAGCTCAAACTGGCCCAGAGAGCAGAGCCACTCGGGCCCACTTTTACCTCCCCATGCCTAATCTGCAGCTTCTTGAGAACAGGCGTGAGTCTCTTCCTCTTGGAGCCTCCACACTGCCCTGTCCGTGGCAGGGGCACGGTCCACACTTCCTGCAGTAGCTTTCATCACATTTCCTCTGATTGGAGTTATTCACCCAGTCCAGGAGCACAGGACGGGCCCTCTTGACTCACTCTTGTTAGGATAGACCCCCTACAGCCTGATTTTACAATCAAAGGCTGAATTGTCAGCCCCCATCCCCCGTCACCTGTAGGTCTTCTCGTGGCCGGGTTGGGGTATTCCTGGTCAGTCTCGCGGCCGGGTTGGGGTATTCCTGGTCAGTCTCGTGGTTGGGTTGGGGTATTCCTGGTCAGTCTCGTGGTTGGGTTGGGGTATTCCTGGTCAGTCTCGTGGCCGGGTTGGGGTATTCCTGGTCAGTCTCGTGGCCGGGTTGGGGTATTCCTGGTCAGTCTCGCGGCCGGGTTGGGGTATTCCTGGTCAGTCTCGTGGTTGGGTTGGGGTATTCCTGGTCAGTCTCGTGGTTGGGTTGGTGTATTCCTGGTCAGTCTCGTGGTTGGGTTGGGGTATTCCTGGTCAGTCTCGTGGTTGGGTTGGGGTATTCCTGGTCAGTCTCGTGGTTGGGTTGGGGTATTCCTGGTCAGTCTCGTGGTTGGGTTGGGGTATTCCTGGTCAGTCTTGTGGTTGGGTTGGGGTATTCCTGGTCAGTCTCGCGGCCGGGTTGGGGTATTCCTGGTCAGTCTCGTGGTTGGGTTGGGGTATTCCTGGTCAGTCTCGTGGTTGGGTTGGGGTACTCCTGAGTCAGCTTAATGTCCCTTGACTGCTTCCTCCCACACCCATATTTAAGCCTCAGTCCCCTGCTGCAGGGGCTGTCACAGCAGCAACTCTGGCAAAGCCTTCCACACAGCTCTTTGTCTCCCCTGCCAGCTGCTGGGGGATCCTGACTGCCAGGCTTTGAAAGGCTCACCTGATAAAATGTGGTCCCCCGACCAGTGGAGAAGTCAGCATCGTCCCAGAACGGAGCCACCAGGGCCACAGGGTCCCGGCCTGTGAAGCCTGTTGGGAGTGGGTTGGGGTAGGAGAAAATCTGGTAGTCTGACTCTGGGAAGATGATCTGGCCATTGTCTGTGAACTGAGCACATGGGTTTTGTGGTCAGCATTCAGGGAGGGAAGTGGGGAGGAAAGTCCCAGCCTTGGTCCAGCTCCTCAAAAGCGTGACCCCCAAGGGTAGAGCTTTAGAGATGCTAACAACCCCTGGAAGTCACCTCCTGTGTCCTGTTTTGGGGAGAGCCCTTTCCATATAATCTCACAGAATGCTCCGCCCTCAGGCCATCCCTTGCGTCCTCGGGTGGTAGGCTTGGTCCTGTTTCACTGCAGATCCCTGGCCGTGGACCAGCCCCTCACAGGCACACCCCTCTTGGCCAGTCCCCTGGGCCCCATCCTGAAGTTTGCGACACATTAGGTGGGGCTCAGGGAGTGGAACCCTCTCTCCATCGCTCAGTGGGTGGAGCCCTCCCTCCGTCGCTCAGGGGTGTAGACACCCTCTCTCCATCGCTCAGGGGTGCAGACACCCCATCTCCATCACTTAGGGGGTGGAACCCTCTATCTATTGCTCAGCAGGTGTAGACACCCTCTCTCCATCGCTCAGGGGTGTAGACACCCTCCCTTCATCGCTCAGGGGTGTAGACACCCTCCCTTCATCGCTCAGGGGTGTAGACACCCTCCCTTCATCGCTCAGGGGTGTAGACACCCTCTCTCCATCGCTCAGGGGTGTAGACACCCTCCCTTCATCGCTCAGGGGTGTAGACACCCTCCCTTCATCGCTCAGGGGTGTAGACACCCTCTCTCCACCGCTCAGGGGTGTAGACACCCTCTCTCCATCGCTCAGGGGTGCAGACACCCCATCTCCATCACTTAGGGGGTGGAAACCTCTCTCTATCACTCAGCAGGTGTGGACACCCTCTCTCCATCCCTCAGGGGTGTAGACACCCTCCCTTCATCGCTCAGGGGTGCAGACACCCCATCTCCATCACTTAGGGGGTGGAAACCTCTCTCTATCACTCAGCAGGTGTGGACACCCTCTCTCCATCCCTCAGGGGTGTAGACACCCTCCCTTCATCGCTCAGGGGTGTAGACATCCTCTCTCCATCGCTCAGGGGTGTAGACACCCTCTCTCCATCGCTCAGGGGTGTAGACACCCCCTCTCCATCGCTCAGGGGTGTAGACACCCCCTCTCCATCGCTCAGGGGTGTAGACACCCTCTCTCCATCGCTCAGGGGTATAGACACCCTCCCTTCATCGCTCAGGGGTGCTCAGGGCTATAGACACCCTCCCTTCATCGCTCAGGGGTGTAGACACCCTCTCTCCATCGCTCAGGGGTGTAGATACCCTCTCTCCATCGCTCAGGGGTGTAGACACCCTCTCTCCATCGCTCAGGGGTGTGGACACCCTCTCTCCATCGCTCAGGGGTGTAGACACCCTCCCTTCATCGCTCAGGGGTGTGGACACCCTCTCTATCGTTCGGGGTGTAGACATCCTCTCTCCATCGCTCAGGGGTGTAGACACCCCCTCTCCATCGCTCAGGGGTGTAGACACCCTCTCTCCATCGCTCAGGGGTGCAGACACCCCATCTCCATCACTTAGGGGGTGGAAACCTCTCTCTATCACTCAGCAGGTGTAGACACCCTCTCTCCATCGCTCAGGGGTGCAGACACCCCATCTCCATCACTTAGGGGGTGGAAACCTCTCTCTATCGCTCAGCAGGTGTAGGCACCCCCCTCCATCGCTCAGGGGTGTAGACACCCTCTCTCCATCACTCAGGGGTGCAGACACCCCATCTCCATCACTTAGGGGGTGGAAACCTCTCTCTCACTCAGCAGGTGTGGACACCCTCTCTCCATCGCTCAGCAGGTGTGGACACTCTCTCTCTATCACTCAGCAGGTGTGGACACCCTCTCTCCATCGCTCAGCAGGTGTGGACACCCTCTCTCTATCGCTCAGCAGGTGTGGACACCCTCTCGCCATCGCTCAGCAGGTGTGGACACCCTCTCTCTATCGCTCAGCAGGTGTGGACACCCTCTCGCCATCGCTCAGCAGGTGTGGACACCCTCTCTCTATCGCTCAGCAGGTGTGGACACCCTCTCCATCGCTCAGTCGCCCTCTCATGCTGTGTTCGGACTCAGCCTCCTCCCTCAGGGCCACAGGAGCCAGGACTGTCCCTCCAACTCTGCTCCAGGAGGCAGGGACCAGGGGGCCAGAGACAAATCCCAGAAGGTGGAAACGGCAGGAACAGTCCAGTTTCCCAAGTGTAGCTTTTTACTCCTGAGAAGGCCCCGCAGAAGCAGCGGTGGGCCCAGCAGGTGGGCAGCCCTCGCCTGGCACCCTGTGTTCCTCAGGCAGAGGCCTGACATTAAGGAGGCTGTGGGGATGGACGAGGGGCCCAGCCAAGGCTGCTTCCATTCCCGCTTCCTCTGGGTTCCGTCTCGAAGCAGGAGAGAGAAGTGGGCCCTGGGAGTTCAGGCTGCGCGGGCCGCAGCCCGGACTCACGTAGAGGGAATCACGGAGAGAGGAGCCAAGGGGGAAGCCAGTCGCCGGCTTGAAGAGTGGGGAGGTGAAGTCCACGGTCCTCCTGACGAACTCCAGGTCCCCGGCGTCTGCCCCATAGGGGAAGAGGGAAACTCCTGGGCCAGGACAGAGAAGAGCAGGAAGTCCAAGTGGGCCTGGGCCTTCTTTAGGGCTGAAAGGGATCCCAGAGCGCTCCCCGCAGGCTGCCCACACCTGTCCTGTGTTCCCCGAGGGCCCCAGAGGCAGCCATCTAGGGTGCTTCTCGCTCCCTCTCCACCCACATTAAATGCATGTGGTCATTTTACTCCCTAAACTGCGCCTCTCATCCTTCCCCAGCTTGGAGAAAAACAGGTCCTGCTGTCAGAATACCAGCAAACGATTCTCAATCTCTTAGTCTCAATCCTTTTCAGGGTTAAAAGACAAAAGTCTATGCTGGGTGCGGTGGCTCACGCCTGTAATCCCAGCACTTTGGGAGGCTGAGGCGGGAGGATCACGAGGTCAGGAGTTCGAGACCAGCCTGACCAACATGGAGAAGCCCTGTCTCTACTTAAAATACAAAAATTAGCCGGGTGTGGTGGCGCATGCCTGTAATCCCAGCCACTCGGGAGGCTGAGGCAGGAGAATTGCTTGAACCCGGGAGGCTGAGGTTCCAGTGAGCTGAGATCGCGCCACTGCACTCCAGCCTGGGCAACAAGAGCGAAAACTCCATCTCAAAAAAAAAAAAAAAAAAATAGACAAAAGTCCAGCGCAATGAAGATGAGTAACTGCAAAGCCCTTTTCAGGGAATGAGACTTGTTTCCTAAGACGGCCTTTCTCCAGATAAACTTGAAGACTCCTCCAATTTAACCTAGGACTCCCTAGAGGCCCTCGGGCTCCAGTGTGAGAAACCTTGTCCCAAATATTTCTCGCAGCTGCCGACTCCTTGGCGCCCTCCCCTGGTCCTGCTTGGAAACCCGCAGGCTCTCCTGGCCTCCTCACTGCCTGCAAATCGGACCGCTCCAGGCACCACTTGTTAAATGCCATTTGTACAATGCAAAACTGAGTCCTCCCTGGCTCCCGTTGCCTACAGGATTCCCCGCATGCCGGCCGCACTTTTTGCTACCCTTCTTCTCATTTTCAGCCACCCCAAATGCTTCGGGGATCCACTCCCCATGCAGCACCGGGACGACTTTCTGCAGCCATACCTACCACACTCGTACCTTCCACACCCATACCTTCCACACCCATACCTTCCACAGTCATACCTTCCACACCCATACCTTCCACACCCATACCTTCCACAGTCATACCTTCCACACCCATACCTTCCACAGTCATACCTTCCACACCCATACCTTCCACGGCCATACCTTCCACACCCATACCTTCCACACCCATACCTTCCACACCCATACCTTCCACGCCCATACCTTCCACACCCATACCTTCCACAGTCATACCTTCCACACCCATACCTTCCACACCCATACCTTTCACACCCATACCTTTCCACACCCATACCTTCCACACCCATACCTTCCACGCCCATACCTTCCACGCCCATACCTTCCACAGTCATACCTTCCACACCCATACCTTCCACACCCATACCTTCCACACCCATACCTTCCACACCCATACCTTCCACACCCATACCTTCCACAGTCATACCTTCCACAGTCATACCTTCCACATCCATACCTTCCACACCCATACCTTCCACACCCATACCTTCCACGCCCATACCTTCCACGCCCATACCTTCCACAGTCATACCTTCCACACCCATACCTTCCACACCCATACCTTCCACGGCCATACCTTCCACACCCATACCTTCCACACCCATACCTTCCACACCCATACCTTCCACGGCCATACCTTCCACACCCATACCTTCCACGGCCATACCTTCCACACCCATACCTTCCACACCCATACCTTCCACAGTCATACCTTCCACACCCATACCTTCCACACCCATACCTTCCACACCCATACCTTCCACAGTCATACCTTCCACACCCATACCTTCCACAGTCATACCTTCCACACCCATACCTTCCACACCCATACCTTCCACATCCATACCTTCCACGGCCATACCTTCCACACCCATACCTTCCACACCCATACCTTCCACGCCCATACCTTCCACACCCATACCTTCCACAGTCATACCTTCCACACCCATACCTTCCACACCCATACCTTCCACACCCATACCTTCCACACCCATACCTTCCACGGCCATACCTTCCACACCCATACCTTCCACACCCATACCTTCCACACCCATACCTTCCACAGTCATACCTTCCACGGCCATACCTTCCACACCCATACCTTCCACAGTCATACCTTCCACACCCATACCTTCCACACCCATACCTTCCACACCCATACCTTCCACAGTCATACCTTCCACACCCATACCTTCCACATCCATACCTTCCACACCCATACCTTCCACAGTCATACCTTCCACACCCATACCTTCCACACCCATACCTTCCACACCCATACCTTCCACACCCTTACCTTCCACACCCATACCTTCCACACCCATACCTTCCACACCCATACCTTCCACGCCCATACCTTCCACAGTCATACCTTCCACACCCATACCTTCCACGGCCATACCTTCCACACCCATACCTTCCACAGTCATACCTTCCACACCCATACCTTCCACACCCATACCTTCCACACCTATACCTTCCACAGTCATACCTTCCACACCCATACCTTCCACACCCATACCTTCCACACCCATACCTTCCACATCCATACCTTCCACACCCATACCTTCCACACCCATACCTTCCACACCCATACCTTCCACGCCCATACCTTCCACGCCCATACCTTCCACAGTCATACCTTCCACACCCATACCTTCCACACCCATACCTTCCACAGTCATACCTTCCACACCCATACCTTCCACGGCCATACCTTCCACACCCATACCTTCCACGGCCATACCTTCCACACCCATACCTTCCACACCCATACCTTCCACACCCATACCTTCCACGGCCATACCTTCCACACCCATACCTTCCACAGTCATACCTTCCACACCCATACCTTCCACACCCATACCTTCCACACCCATACCTTCCACGGCCATACCTTCCACACCCATACCTTCCACACCCTTACCTTCCACACCCATACCTTCCACACCCATACCTTCCACAGTCATACCTTCCACACCCATACCTTCCACAGTCATACCTTCCACACCCATACCTTCCACAGTCATACCTTCCACACCCATACCTTCCACACCCATACCTTCCACACCCATACCTTCCACACCCATACCTTCCACACCCATACCTTCCACAGTCATACCTTCCACACCCATACCTTCCACAGTCATACCTTCCACACCCATACCTTCCACAGTCATACCTTCCACACCCATACCTTCCACAGTCATACCTTCCACACCCATACCTTCCACACCCATACCTTCCACACCCATACCTTCCACGGCCATACCTTCCACACCCATACCTTCCACACCCATACCTTCCACACCCATACCTTCCACACCCATACCTTCCACAGTCATACCTTCCACACCCATACCTTCCACAGTCATACCTTCCACACCCATACCTTCCACACCCATACCTTCCACACCCATACCTTCCACGGCCATACCTTCCACACCCATACCTTCCACACCCATACCTTCCACACCCATACCTTCCACAGTCATACCTTCCACGGCCATACCTTCCACACCCATACCTTCCACAGTCATACCTTCCACACCCATACCTTCCACACCCATACCTTCCACACCCATACCTTCCACAGTCATACCTTCCACACCCATACCTTCCACATCCATACCTTCCACACCCATACCTTCCACAGTCATACCTTCCACACCCATACCTTCCACACCCATACCTTCCACACCCATACCTTCCACACCCTTACCTTCCACACCCATACCTTCCACACCCATACCTTCCACACCCATACCTTCCACGCCCATACCTTCCACAGTCATACCTTCCACACCCATACCTTCCACGGCCATACCTTCCACACCCATACCTTCCACAGTCATACCTTCCACACCCATACCTTCCACACCCATACCTTCCACACCTATACCTTCCACAGTCATACCTTCCACACCCATACCTTCCACACCCATACCTTCCACACCCATACCTTCCACATCCATACCTTCCACACCCATACCTTCCACACCCATACCTTCCACACCCATACCTTCCACGCCCATACCTTCCACGCCCATACCTTCCACAGTCATACCTTCCACACCCATACCTTCCACACCCATACCTTCCACAGTCATACCTTCCACACCCATACCTTCCACGGCCATACCTTCCACACCCATACCTTCCACGGCCATACCTTCCACACCCATACCTTCCACACCCATACCTTCCACACCCATACCTTCCACACCCATACCTTCCACAGTCATACCTTCCACACCCATACCTTCCACAGTCATACCTTCCACACCCATACCTTCCACACCCATACCTTCCACACCCATACCTTCCACACCCATACCTTCCACACCCATACCTTCCACAGTCATACCTTCCACACCCATACCTTCCACAGTCATACCTTCCACACCCATACCTTCCACAGTCATACCTTCCACACCCATACCTTCCACAGTCATACCTTCCACACCCATACCTTCCACACCCATACCTTCCACACCCATACCTTCCACGGCCATACCTTCCACACCCATACCTTCCACACCCATACCTTCCACACCCATACCTTCCACACCCATACCTTCCACAGTCATACCTTCCACACCCATACCTTCCACAGTCATACCTTCCACACCCATACCTTCCACAGTCATACCTTCCACACCCATAGCTTCCACAGTCATACCTTCCACACCCATACCTTCCACACCCATACCTTCCACACCCATACCTTCCACGGCCATACCTTCCACACCCATACCTTCCACACCCATACCTTCCACACCTTTGTTCCAGCTGTTCCCGCCCTCCTCCCTGCCTGGGGTGCTCCTCCATCCCCGGCTCTGCATTCCTTAGGGCCTTCCATTGTGTGCACTTAGACCCTGGGATGAGTCCTCTAACCGCCGCTACCGGACCGTCCATCTATCCCTTGCTGAATGGCACTGGGGTCATTTCTCTGTCTCCAGCTCCTGGCCCAGTGCCATGCACAAAGCCAGCCCTCAGGAGCGACTCCGATGCTGTGTCCCTGTCCTCGGTAAGGCTCTCCCCACCCGAGAGAGCAGAGACTGTGGGAAGTAGGCTGAGAGGGAGCCTTCAGTTACATCACCCCTCAAAAGGCACAGGCCTCACCTGTATGGCCTCACCTCTCTCAGGCAGGATGGGGATGGGGGCAGCTGTGGAGCGGGTGTGCATGGCAGTGCTGGGAATGGTGGAAATGATGGTCTGGGAGGTTGTGGGGGGTGGTGATGTGGCTGTGCGTCTCCCACCGTCTGTCTTCAGTGACGGTGTTGTCATTCCTGGACACGTGAAAAGACAAGGCGGGGTGTTTCTTACAGTAACAAAACAGGAGAGTCAAAGAGATTCAAAGAAATCAGGAGCTGGAAGAGAGAGCTGGAAACTCCTTGTCTCTCCCCTGCTCATATCCAAACTACTCTCGACATCAGTGCTTTTCGATTGCGGCACAAAGGAGGGTGAGCCTGTCACCCACCACACCCATCACCTCCTCCCCTGTGGGACCTGACACGGCCCCACCAGGTAATGCGAATGCACCAGTGTTCTCAGGTACTCCTTAGGCTGAATTCCGCCAAGGGGCCCACTGGGAGACATAAAGGCGAGGCAGTTGGCAGCTACCTGATGTTTCCATCTTCAGAGGGGAGTCCGAGGATACTGTGGAAGCTGAGGTAGCACTGCTGACAGCAAGAGGGGTGGCGTGACCTGTGGATACTGAGGAAAGGCTGGTGACAGGAAGAGGGGTGGCCTGACCTGTGGATGCTGAGGAAGTGTCGGTGACAGGAAGAGGGGTGGTGTCACCTGTGGATGCTGAGGAAGTGTCGGTGACAGGAAGAGGCGTGGCGTGACCTGTGGACACTGAGGAAGCGTCGGTGACAGGAAGAGGGGTGGCGTGACCTGTGGATGCTGAGGAAGTGCTGGTGACAGGAAGAGGGGTGGCGTGACCTGTGGATGCTGAGGAAGGGCTGGTGACATGAAGAGGGGTGACGTGACCTGTAGATACTGAGGAAGTGCTGGTGACAGGAAGAGGGGTGGCCTGACCTGTGGATGATGAGGAAGGGCTGGTGACATGAAGAGGGGTGACGTGACCTGTAGATACTGAGGAAGTGCTGGTGACAGGAAGAGGGGTGGTGTGACCTGAGGATGATGAGGAAGGGATGGTGACAGGAAGAGAGGTGGCGTGACCTGTGGATACTGAGGAAGTGTTGGTGACAAGAAGAGGGGTGGTGTCACCTGTGGATACTGAGGAAAGGCTGGTGACAGGAAGAGGGGTGGCCTGACCTGTGGATGCTGAGGAAGTGTCCGTGACAGGAAGACGGGTGGTGTCACCTGTGGATGCTGAGGAAGTGTCGGTGACAGGAAGAGGGGTGGCGTGACCTGTGGATACTGAGGAAGCGTCGGTGACAAGAAGAGGGGTGGTGTCACCTGTGGATACTGAGGAAAGGCTGGTGACAGGAAGAGGGGTGGCCTGACCTGTGGATGCTGAGGAAGTGTCGCTGACAGGAAGAGAGGTGGTGTGACCTGAGGATGCTGAGGAAGGGATGGTGACAGGAAGAGGCGTGGTGTCACCTGTTGATACTGAGGAAAGGCTGGTGACAGGAAGAGGGGTGGCCTGACCTGTGGATGCCGAGGAAGCGTCGGTGACAGGAAGAGGGGTGGTGTCACCTGTGGATGCTGAGGAAGTGTCGGTGACAGGAAGAGGGGTGGCGTGACCGGTGGATGCCGAGGAAGCGTCGGTGACAGGAAGAGGGGTGGTGTCACCTGTGGATACTGAGGAAAAGCTGGTGACAGGAAGAGGGGTGGCGTGACCTGTGGATACTGAGGAAGTGTCGGTGACAGGAAGAGGGGTGGCGTGACCGGTGGATGCTGAGGAAGCGCCGGTGACAGGAAGAGTGCTGGTGTCACCTGTGGATGCTGAGGAAGGGATGGTGACATGAAGAGGGGTGGTGTGTCCTGTGGATAATGAGGAAGCATTGGTGACAGGAAGAGGGGTGGTGTCACCTGTGGATGCTGAGGAAGTGTCGGTGACAGGAAGAGGGGTGGTGTGACCTGTAGATGCTGAGGAAGGGCTGGTGACAGGAAGAGGGGTGGTGTGACCTGTGGATGCTAAGGAAGTGCTGGTGACAGGAACAGGGGTGGCGTGACCGGTGGATGCTGAGGAAGTGCTGGTGACAGGAAGAGGGGTGGCGTGACCTGTGGATGCTGAGGAAGGGCTAGTGACAGGAAGAGGCATGGTGTCACCTGTGGATACTGAGGAAGTGTTGGTGACAGGAAGAGGGGTGGCCTGACCTGTGGATGCCGAGGAAATGTCGGTGACAGGAAGACGGGTGGTGTCACCTGTGGAAGCTGAGGAAAGGCCGGTGACAGGAAGAGGGGTGGCGTGACCTGTGGATACTGAGGAAGTGTCGGTGACAGGCACAGGGGTGGTGTCACCTGTGGATGCTGAGGAAGTCTCGGTGACAAGAAGAGGGGTGGTGTCACCTGTGGATGATGAGGAAGTGTCGGTGACAGGAAGAGAGGTGGTGTCACCTGTGTATGCTGAGGAAGTGTCGGTGACAGGAAGAGAGGTGGTGTCACCTGTGGATGCTGAGGAAGTGTCGGTGACAGGAAGAGAGGTGGCATGACCGGTGGATGCTGAGGAAGGGCTAGTGACAGGAAGAGGCGTGGTGTCACCTGTGGATACTGAGGAAAGGCTGGTGACAGGAAGAGGGGTGGCCTGACCTGTGGATGCTGAGGAAGCGTCGGTGACAAGAAGAGGAGTGGCGTGACCTGTGGATGCTGAGGAAGGGCTAGTGACAGGAAGAGGCGTGGTGTCACCTGTGGATACTGAGGAAAGGCTGGTGACAGGAAGAGGGGTGGCGTGACCTGTGGATGCTGAGGAAGTGTCGGTGACAGGAAGCGGGGTGGCGTGACCGGTGGATGCTGAGGAAGGGCTGGTGACATGAAGAGGGGTGGCGTGACCTGTGGATATTGAGGAAGTGTCGGTGACAGGAAGAGGGGTGGCGTGACCTGTGGATGCTGAGGAAGTGTCGGTGACAGGAAGAGAGGTGGCGTGACCTGTGGATGCTGAGGAAGTGTCGGTGACAGGAAGAGGGGTGGTGTCACCTGTGGATACTGAGGAAAGGCTGGTGACAGGAAGAGGGGTGGCCTGACCTGTGGATGCTGAGGAAGTGTCGGTGACAGGAAGAGGCGTGGTGTCACCTGTGGATACTGAGGAAAGGCTGGTGAGAGGAAGAGGGGTAGCGTGACCTGTGGACACTGAGGAAGCGTCGGTGACAGGAAGAGGGGTGGCGTGACCTGTGGACACTGAGGAAGCGTCGGTGACAGGAAGAGAGGTGGCGTGACCTGTGGACACTGACGAAGCGTCGGTGACAGGAAGAGGGGTGGTGTGACCTGTGGATGCTGAGGAAGGGCTGGTGACATGAAGAGGGGTGGCGTGACCTGTGGATACTGAGGAAGTGTTGGTGACAGGAAGAGGGGTGGCGTGACCTGTGGATGCTGAGGAAGTGTCGGTGACAGGAAGAGGGGTGGTGTCACCTGTGGATGCTGAGGAAGTGCTGGTGACAGGAAGAGGGGTGGCGTGACCTGTGGATGCTGCGGAAGTGTCGGTAACAGGAAGAGGGGTGGCGTGACCGGTGGATGCTGAGGAAGGGCTGGTGACATGAAGAGAGGTGGCGTGACGTGTGGATAATGAGGAAGCATTGGTGACAGGAAGAGGGGTGGTGTCACCTGTGGATGCTGAGGGAGTGTCGGTGACAGGTAGAGGGGTGGTGTGACCTGTAGATGCTGAGGAAGGGCTGGTGACAGGAAGACGGGTGGTGTCACCTGTGGATACTGACGAAGCGTCGGTGACAAGAAGAGGGGTGGTGTGACCTGTGGATACTGAGGAAGTGTCGGTGCCAGGAAGAGGGGTGGTGTCACCTGTGGATGCTGAGGAAGTGCTGGTGACAGGAAGAGGGGTGGCATGACCTGTGGATGCCGAGGAAACGTCGGTGACAGGAAGACGGGTGGTGTCACCTGTGGAAGCTGAGGAAAGGCCGGTGACAGGAAGATGGGTGGCGTGACCTGTGGATGCTGAGGAAGTGTCGGTGACAGGAAGAGGGGTGGTGTCACCTGTGGATGCTGAGGAAGCGTCGGTGACAGGAAGAGGGGTGGTGTGACCTGAGGATGCTGAGGAAGGGCTGGTGACAGGAAGAGGGGTGGTGTCACCTGTGGATACTGAGGAAGCGTCGGTGACATGAAGAGGGGTGGCGTGACCTGTGGATGCTGAGGAAGGGCTAGTGACAGGAAGAGGCGTGGTGTCACCTGTGGATGCTGAGGAAAGGCTGGTGACAGGAAGAGGGGTGGCGTGACCTGTGGATGCTGAGGAAGGGCTGGTGACATGAAGAGGGGTGGCGTGACCTGTGGATGCTGAGGAAGGGCTAGTGACAGGAAGAGGGGTGGTGTCACCTGTGGATACTGAGGAAAGGCTGGTGACAGGAAGAGAGGTGGCGTGACCTGTGGACACTGAGGAAGCATCGGTGACAGGAAGAGGGGTGGTGTCACCTGTGGATGCTGAGGAAAGGCTGGTGACAGGAAGAGGGGTGGCCTGTCCTGTGGATGCTGAGGAAGTGTCGGTGACAAGAAGAGGGATGGCGTGACCTGTGGATGCTGAGGAAGGGCTGGTGACAGGAAGAGGGGTGGCCTGACCTGTGGATGCTGAGGAAGTGTCGGTGACAGGAAGAGAGGTGGCGTGACCTGTGGATGCTGAGGAAGTGTCAGTGACAGGAAGAGAGGTGGCGTGACCTGTGGATACTGAGGAAGTGTCGGTGACAGGAAGAGGGGTGGTGTCACCTGTGGATGCTGAGGAAGGGCTGGTGACAGGAAGAGGGGTGGTGTCCCCTGTGGATAATGAGGAAGCATCGGTGACATGAAGAGCGGTGGCGTGACCTGTGGATACTGAGGAAGCGTCGGTGACAAGAAGAGAGGTGGCGTGACCTGTGGATACTGAGGAAGCGTCGGTGACAAGAAGATGGGTGGCGTGACCTGTGGATGCTGAGGAAGGGCTAGTGACAGGAAGAGGCGTGGTGTCACCTGTGGATACTGAGAAAAGGCTGGTGACAGGAAGAGGGGTGTCCTGACCTGTGGATGCTGAGGAAGTATCAGTGACAGGAAGCGGCGTGGTGTCACCAGTGGATGATGCTGAGGAAAGGCTGGTGACAGGAAGAGGGGTGGCCTGTCCTGTAGATACTGAGGAAGTGTCGGTGACCGGAAGAGGGGTGGCATGACCTGTGGACACTGAGGAAGCGTCGGTGACAGGAAGAGGGGTGGCGTGACCTGTGGACACTGAGGAAGCGTCGGTGACAGGAAGAGAGGTGGCGTGACCTGTGGGTACTGAGGAAGCGTCGGTGACAGGAAGAGGGGTGGTGTGACCTGAGGATGCTGAGGAAGGGATGGTGACAGGAAGAGAGGTGGCGTGACCTGTGGACACTGAGGAAGCGTCGGTGACAGGAAGAGAGGTGGTGTGACCTGAGGATGCTGAGGAAGGGCTAGTGACAGGAAGAGGCGTGGTGTCACCTGTGGATGCTGAGGAAAGGCTGGTGACAGGAAGAGAGGTGGCGTGACCTGTGGATACTGAGGAAGCGTCGGTGACATGAAGAGGGGTGGTGTCACCTGTGGATGCTGAGTTAGTGTCGGTGACAGGAAGAGGGGTGGTGTCACCTGTGGATACTGAGGAAGCGTCGGTGACAAGAAGAGAGGTGGCGTGACCTGTGGACACTGAGGAAGCGTCGGTGACAGGAAGAGAGGTGGTGTGACCTGAAGATGCTGAGGAAGGGATGGTGACAGGAAGAGAGGTGGTGTCACCTGTGGATGCTGAGGAAGCGTCGGTGACAGGAAGAGGGGTGGTGTCACCTGTGGATGCTGAGGAAGGGCTGGTGACAGGAAGAGGGATGGCCTGACCTGTGGATGCCGAGGAAACGTCGGTGACAGGAAGACGGGTGGTGTCATCTGTGGAAGCTGAGGAAAGGCCGGTGACAGGAAGTGGGGTGGCGTGAGCTGTGGATACTGAGGAAGTGTCGGTGACAGGAAGAGGGGTGGCCTGACCTGTGGATGCTGAGGAAGCGTCAGTGACAAGAAGAGGGCTGGCGTGACCTGTGGATGCTGAGGAAGGGCTAGTGACAGGAAGAGGCGTGGTGTCACCTGTGGATACTGAGGAAAGGCTGGTGACAGGAAGAGGGGTGGCCTGACCTGTGGATGCCGAGGACACGTCGGTGACAGGAAGACGGGTGGTGTCATCTGTGGTAGCTGAGGAAAGGCCGGTGACAGGAAGAGGGGTGGCATGACCTGTGGATACTGAGGAATTGTCGGTGACAGGAAGAGGGGTGGCGTGACCGGTGGATGCTGAGGAAGTGCTGGTGACAGGAAGAGGGGTGGCGTGACCGGTGGATGCTGAGGAAGTGCTGGTGACAGGAAGAGGGGTGGCGTGACCTGTGGATGCTGAGGAAGGGCTGGTGACATGAAGAGGGGTGGCGTGACCTGTGGATAATGAGGAAGCATTGGTGACAGGAAGAGGGGTGGTGTCACCTGTGGATGCTGAGGAAGTGTCGGTGACAGGAAGAGGGGTGGTGTGACCTGTAGATGCTGAGGAAGGGCTGGTGACAGGAAGAGGGGTGGTGTCACCTTTGGATGCTGAGGAAGTGTCGGTGACAGGAAGAGGGGTGGTGTGACCTGTAGATGCTGAGGAAGGGCTGGTGACAGGAAGAGGGGTGGTGTGACCTGTGGATACTGAGGAAGTGTCGGTGACAGGAAGAGGGGTGGTGTCACCTGTGGATGCTGAGGAAAGGCTGGTGACAGGAAGAGGGGTGGCGTGACCTGTGGATGCTGAGGAAGGGCTGGTGACATGAAGAGGAGTGACGTGACCTGTGGATGCTGAGGAAGTGCTAGTGACAGGAAGAGGCGTGGTGTCACCTGTGGATACTGAGGAAGTGTCGGTGACAAGAAGAGAGGTGGCCTGACCTGTGGATGCTGAGGAAGTGTCGGTGACAGGAAGAGGGGTGGTGTGACCTGTGGATACTGAGGAAGCATCGGTGACATGAAGAGGGGTGGTGTGACCTGTAGATGCTGAGGAAGGGCTGGTGACAGGAAGACGGGTGGTGTCACCTGTGGATACTGACGAAGCGTCGGTGACAAGAAGAGGGGTGGTGTGACCTGTGGATACTGAGGAAGTGTCGGTGCCAGGAAGAGGGGTGGTGTCACCTGTGGATGCTGAGGAAGTGCTGGTGACAGGAAGAGGGGTGGCATGACCTGTGGATGCCGAGGAAACGTTGGTGACAGGAAGACGGGTGGTGTCACCTGTGGAAGCTGAGGAAAGGCCGGTGACAGGAAGATGGGTGGCGTGACCTGTGGATGCTGAGGAAGTGTCGGTGACAGGAAGAGGGGTGGTGTCACCTGAGGATGCTGAGGAAGGGCTAGTGACAGGAAGAGGCGTGGTGTCACCTGTGGATGCTGAGGAAAGGCTGGTGACAGGAAGAGAGGTGGCGTGACCTGTGGATACTGAGGAAGCGTCGGTGACATGAAGAGGGGTGGTGTCACCTGTGGATGCTGAGTTAGTGTCGGTGACAGGAAGAGGGGTGGTGTCACCTGTGGATACTGAGGAAGCGTCGGTGACAAGAAGAGAGGTGGCGTGACCTGTGGACACTGAGGAAGCGTCGGTGACAGGAAGAGAGGTGGTGTGACCTGAAGATGCTGAGGAAGGGATGGTGACAGGAAGAGAGGTGGTGTCACCTGTGGATGCTGAGGAAGCGTCGGTGACAGGAAGAGGGGTGGTGTCACCTGTGGATGCTGAGGAAGGGCTGGTGACAGGAAGAGGGATGGCCTGACCTGTGGATGCCGAGGAAACGTCGGTGACAGGAAGACGGGTGGTGTCATCTGTGGAAGCTGAAGAAAGGCCGGTGACAGGAAGTGGGGTGGCGTGAGCTGTGGATACTGAGGAAGTGTCGGTGACAGGAAGAGGGGTGGCCTGACCTGTGGATGCTGAGGAAGCGTCAGTGACAAGAAGAGGGCTGGCGTGACCTGTGGATGCTGAGGAAGGGCTAGTGACAGGAAGAGGCGTGGTGTCACCTGTGGATACTGAGGAAAGGCTGGTGACAGGAAGAGGGGTGGCCTGACCTGTGGATGCCGAGGAAACGTCGGTGACAGGAAGACGGGTGGTGTCATCTGTGGTAGCTGAGGAAAGGCCGGTGACAGGAAGAGGGGTGGCGTGACCTGTGGATACTGAGGAATTGTCGGTGACAGGAAGAGGGGTGGCGTGACCGGTGGATGCTGAGGAAGTGCTGGTGACAGGAAGAGAGGTGGCGTGACCGGTGGATGCTGAGGAAGTGCTGGTGACAGGAAGAGGGGTGGCGTGACCTGTGGATGCTGAGGAAGGGCTGGTGACATGAAGAGGGGTGGCGTGACCTGTGGATAATGAGGAAGCATTGGTGACAGGAAGAGGGGTGGCGTGACCTGTGGATGCTGAGGAAGGGCTGGTGACAGGAAGAGGGGTGGTGTCACCTGTGGATGCTGAGGAAGTGTCGGTGACAGGAAGAGGGGTGGTGTGACCTGTAGATGCTGAGGAAGGGCTGGTGACAGGAAGAGGGGTGGTGTCACCTTTGGATGCTGAGGTAGTGTCGGTGACAGGAAGAGGGGTGGTGTGACCTGTAGATGCTGAGGAAGGGCTGGTGACAGGAAGAGGGGTGGTGTGACCTGTGGATACTGAGGAAGCGTCGGTGACAGGAAGAGGGGTGGTGTCACCTGTGGATGCTGAGGAAGGGCTAGTGACAGGAAGAGGCATGGTGTCACCTGTGGATGCTGAGGAAAGGCTGGTGACAGGAAGAGGGGTGGCGTGACCTGTGGATGCTGAGGAAGGGCTGGTGACATGAAGAGGAGTGACGTGACCTGTGGATGCTGAGGAAGTGCTAGTGACAGGAAGAGGCGTGGTGTCACCTGTGGATACTGAGGAAGTGTCGGTGACAAGAAGAGAGGTGGCCTGACCTGTGGATGCTGAGGAAGTGTCGGTGACAGGAAGAGGGGTGGTGTGACCTGTGGAACCTGAGGAACGGATGGTTACAGGAAGAGAGGTGGCGTGACCTGTGGACACTGAGGAAGCGTCCGTGACAGGAAGAGGGGTGGCGTGTCCTGTGGATGCTGAGGAAGTGTCGGTGACAAGAAGAGGGGTGGCGTGACCTGTGGATGCTGAGGAAGGGCTAGTGACAGGAAGAGGCGTGGTGTCACCTGTGGATACTGAGGAAAGGCTGGTGACAGGAAGAAGGGTGGCCTGACCTGTGGATGCTGAGGAAGCATCAGTGACATGAAGAGGGGTGGCGTGACCTGTGGATGCTGAGGAAGTGTCAGTGACAGGAAGAGGGGTGGTGTCACCTGTGGATGCTGAGGAAAGGCTGGTGACAGGAAGAGGGGTGACGTGACCTGTGGATGCTGAGGAAGTGTCAGTGACAGGAAGAGGGGTGCTGTCACCTGTGGATGCTGAGGAAAGGCTGGTGACAGGAAGAGGGGTGACGTGACCTGTGGATGCTGAGGAAGTGTCAGTGACAGGAAGAGGGGTGGTGTCACCTGTGGAAGCTGAGGAAAGGCCGGTAACAGGAAGAGGGGTGGCGTGACCTGTGGATGCTGAGGAAGGGCTAGTGACAGGAAGAGGCATGGTGTCACCTGTGGATACTGAGGAAAGGCTGGTGACAGGAAGAGGGGTGGCCTGACCTGTGGATGCTGAGGAAGTGTTGGTGACAGGAAGAGGGGTGGTGTCACCTGTGGATGCTGAGGAAGCGTCGGTGACAGGAAGAGGCGTGGCGTGACCTGTGGACACTGAGGAAGCGTCGGTGACAGGAAGAGGGGTGGCGTGACCTGTGGATACTGAGGAAGTGTCGGTGACAGGAAGAGAGGTGGCGTGACCTGTGGATACTGAGGAAGTGTCGGTGACAGGAAGAGAGGTGGCGTGACCTGTGGATGCTGAGGAAGTGCTGGTGACAGGAAGAGGGGTGACGTGACCTGTAGATACTGAGGAAGTGCTGGTGACAGGAAGAGGGGTGGTGTGACCTGAGGATGATGAGGAAGGGATGGTGACAGGAAGAGAGGTGGCGTGACCTCTGGATACTGAGGAAGTGTTGGTGACAAGAAGAGGGGTGGTGTCACCTGTGGATACTGAGGAAAGGCTGGTGACAGGAAGAGGGGTGGCCTGACCTGTGGATGCTGAGGAAGTGTCTGTGACAGGAAGACGGGTGGTGTCACCTGTGGATGCTGAGGAAGTGTCGGTGACAGGAAGAGGGGTGGCGTGACCTGTGGATACTGAGGAAGCGTCGGTGACAAGAAGAGGGGTGGTGTCACCTGTGGATACTGAGGAAAGGCTGGTGACAGGAAGAGGGGTGGCCTGACCTGTGGATGCTGAGGAAGTGTCGGTGACAGGAAGAGAGGTGGTGTGACCTGAGGATGCTGAGGAAGGGATGGTGACAGGAAGAGGCGTGGTGTCACCTGTTGATACTGAGGAAAGGCTGGTGACAGGAAGAGGGGTGGCCTGACCTGTGGATGCCGAGGAAGCGTCGGTGACAGGAAGAGGGGTGGTGTCACCTGTGGATACTGAGGAAAGGCTGGTGACAGGAAGAGGCGTGGCGTGACCGGTGGATACTGAGGAAGTGTCGGTGACAGGAAGAGGGGTGGCGTGACCGGTGGATGCCGAGGAAGCGTCGGTGACAGGAAGAGGGGTGGTGTCACCTGTGGATACTGAGGAAAAGCTGGTGACAGGAAGAGGGGTGGCGTGACCTGTGGATACTGAGGAAGTGTCGGTGACAGGAAGAGTCGTGGTGTCACCTGTGGATACTGAGGAAAGGCTGGTGAGAGGAAGAGGGGTGGCGTGACCTGTGGATACTGAGGAAGTGTCGGTGACAGGAAGAGGGGTGGCGTGACCGGTGGATGCCGAGGAAGCGTCGGTGACAGGAAGAGGGGTGGTGTCACCTGTGGATACTGAGGAAAAGCTGGTGACAGGAAGAGGGGTGGCGTGACCTGTGGATACTGAGGAAGTGTCGGTGACAGGAAGAGGCGTGGTGTCACCTGTGGATACTGAGGAAAAGCTGGTGACAGGAAGAGGGGTGGCGTGACCTGTGGATACTGAGGAAGTGTCGGTGACAGGAAGAGGGGTGGCGTGACCGGTGGATGCTGAGGAAGCGCCGGTGACAGGAAGAGTGCTGGTGTCACCTGTGGATGCTGAGGAAGGGATGGTGACATGAAGAGGGGTGGTGTGACCTGTAGATGCTGAGGAAGGGCTGGTGACAGGAAGAGGGGTGGTGTCACCTGTGGATGCTGAGGAAGTGTCGGTGACAGGAAGAGGGGTGGTGTGACCTGTAGATGCTGAGGAAGTGCTGGTGACAGGAACAGGGGTGGCGTGACCGGTGGATGCTGAGGAAGTGCTGGTGACAGGAAGAGGGGTGGCGTGACCTGTGGATGCTGAGGAAGGGCTAGTGACAGGAAGAGGCATGGTGTCACCTGTGGATACTGAGGAAGTGTTGGTGACAGGAAGAGGGGTGGCCTGACCTGTGGATGCCGAGGAAATGTCGGTGACAGGAAGACGGGTGGTGTCACCTGTGGAAGCTGAGGAAAGGCCGGTGACAGGAAGAGGGGTGGCGTGACCTGTGGATGCTGAGGAAGTGTTGGTGACAGGAAGAGGGGTGGCCTGACCTGTGGATGCCGAGGAAATGTCGGTGACAGGAAGACGGGTGGTGTCACCTGTGGAAGCTGAGGAAAGGCCGGTGACAGGAAGAGGGGTGGCGTGACCTGTGGATACTGAGGAAGTGTCGGTGACAGGCACAGGGGTGGTGTCACCTGTGGATGCTGAGGAAGGGCTGGTGACATGAAGAGGGGTGGCGTGACCTGTGGATGCTGAGGAAGTCTCGGTGACAAGAAGAGGGGTGGTGTCACCTGTGGATGATGAGGAAGTGTCGGTGACAGGAAGAGAGGTGGTGTCACCTGTGTATGCTGAGGAAGTGTCGGTGACAGGAAGAGGGGTGGCCTGACCTGTGGATGCTGAGGAAGCGTCGGTGACAAGAAGAGGAGTGGCGTGACCTGTGGATGCTGAGGAAGGGCTAGTGACAGGAAGAGGCGTGGTGTCACCTGTGGATACTGAGGAAAGGCTGGTGACAGGAAGAGGGGTGGCCTGACCTGTGGATGCTGAGGAAGTGTCGGTAACAGGAAGAGGGGTGGTGTCACCTGTGGATGCTGAGGAAGTGCTGGTGACAGGAAGAGCGGTGGCCTGACCTGTGGATGCTGAGGAAGTGTCGGTGACAGGAAGAGGGGTGGTGTGACCTGTGGATGCTGAGGAAGGGCTAGTGACAGGAAGAGGCGTGGTGTCACCTGTGGATACTGAGGAAAGGCTGGTGACAGGAAGAGGGGTGGCGTGACCTGTGGATGCTGAGGAAGTGTCGGTGACAGGAAGCGGGGTGGCGTGACCGGTGGATGCTGAGGAAGGGCTGGTGACATGAAGAGGGTTGGCGTGACCTGTGGATGCTGAGGAAGTGTCGGTGACAGGAAGCGGGGTGGCGTGACCGGTGGATGCTGAGGAAGGGCTGGTGACATGAAGAGGGGTGGCGTGACCTGTGGATATTGAGGAAGTGTCGGTGACAGGAAGAGGGGTGGCGTGACCTATGGATGCTGAGGAAGTGTCGGTGACAGGAAGAAGGGTGGCGTGACCTGTGGATGCTGAGGAAGTGTCGGTGACAGGAAGAGGGGTGGCGTGACCTGTGGATGCTGAGGAAGTGTCGGTGTCAGGAAGAGGGGTGGCGTGACCTGTGGATGCTGAGGAAGTGTCGGTGACAGGAAGAGAGGTGGCGTGACCTGTGGATGCTGAGGAAGTGTCGGTGACAGGAAGAGGGGTGGTGTCACCTGTGGATACTGAGGAAAGGCTGGTGACAGGAAGAGGGGTGGCCTGACCTGTGGATGCTGAGGAAGTGTCGGTGACAGGAAGAGGCGTGGTGTCACCTGTGGATACTGAGGAAAGGCTGGTGAGAGGAAGAGGGGTGGCGTGACCTGTGGATACTGAGGAAGTGTCGGTGACAGGAAGAGGGGTAGCGTGACCTGTGGACACTGAGGAAGCGTCGGTGACAGGAAGAGGGGTGGCGTGACCTGTGGACACTGAGGAAGCGTCGGTGACAGGAAGAGAGGTGGCGTGACCTGTGGACACTGAGGAAGCGTCGGTGACAGGAAGAGGGGTGGTGTGACCTGAGGATGCTGAGGAAGGGATGGTGACAGGAAGCGAGGTGGCGTGACCTGTGAACACTGAGGAAGCGTCGGTGACAGGAAGAGAGGTGGCGTGACCTGTGGACACTGACGAAGCGTCGGTGACAGGAAGAGGGGTGGTGTGACCTGTGGATGCTGAGGAAGGGCTGGTGACATGAAGAGGGGTGGCGTGACCTGTGGATACTGAGGAAGTGTTGGTGACAGGAAGAGGGGTGGCGTGACCTGTGGATGCTGAGGAAGTGTCGGTGACAGGAAGAGGGGTGGTGTCACCTGTGGATGCTGAGGAAGTGTCGGTGACAGGAAGAGGGGTGGCCTGACCTGTGGATGCTGAGTAAGTGTCGGTGACAGGAAGAGGGGTGGTGTCACCTGTGGATGCTGAGGAAGGGCTGGTGACATGAAGAGGGGTGGCATGACCTGTGGATACTGAGGAAGTGTCGGTGACAGGAAGAGAGGTGGCGTGACCTGTGGATGCTGAGGAAGGGCTGGTGACATGAAGAGAGGTGGTGTGACGTGTGGATAATGAGGAAGCATTGGTGACAGGAAGAGGGGTGGTGTCACCTGTGGATGCTGAGGGAGTGTCGGTGACAGGTAGAGGGGTGGTGTGACCTGTAGATGCTGAGGAAGGGCTGGTGACAGGAAGACGGGTGGTGTCACCTGTGGATACTGACGAAGCGTCGGTGACAAGAAGAGGGGTGGTGTGACCTGTGGATACTGAGGAAGTGTCGGTGCCAGGAAGAGGGGTGGTGTCACCTGTGGATGCTGAGGAAGTGCTGGTGACAGGAAGAGGGGTGGCATGACCTGTGGATGCCGAGGAAACGTTGGTGACAGGAAGACGGGTGGTGTCACCTGTGGAAGCTGAGGAAAGGCCGGTGACAGGAAGATGGGTGGCGTGACCTGTGGATGCTGAGGAAGTGTCGGTGACAGGAAGAGGGGTGGTGTCACCTGTGGATGCTGAGGAAGCGTCGGTGACAGGAAGAGGGGTGGTGTGACCTGAGGATGCTGAGGAAGGGCTGGTGACAGGAAGAGGGGTGGTGTGACCTGAGGATGCTGAGGAAGGGCTGGTGACAGGAAGAGGGGTGGTGTCACCTGTGGATACTGAGGAAGCGTCGGTGACAGGAAGAGGGGTGGTGTGACCTGAGGATGCTGAGGAAGGGCTGGTGACAGGAAGAGGGGTGGTGTCACCTGTGGATACTGAGGAAAGGCTGGTGACAGGAAGAGAGGTGGCGTGACCTGTGGACACTGAGGAAGCGTCGGTGACAGGAAGAGGGGTGGTGTCACCTGTGGATGCTGAGGAAAGGCTGGTGACAGGAAGAGGGGTGGCCTGTCCTGTGGATGCTGAGGAAGTGTCGGTGACAAGAAGAGGGATGGCGTGACCTGTGGATGCTGAGGAAGGGCCGGTGACAGGAAGAGGGGTGGCCTGACCTGTGGATGCTGAGGAAGTGTCGGTGACAGGAAGAGGGGTGGCGTGACCTGTGGATGCTGAGGAAGTGTCGGTGACAGGAAGAGAGGTGGCGTGACCTGTGGATGCTGAGGAAGTGTCGGTGACAGGAAGAGGGGTGGTGTCACCTGTGGATGCTGAGGAAGGGCTGGTGACAGGAAGAGGGGTGGTGTCCCCTGTGGATAATGAGGAAGCATCGGTGACATGAAGAGCGGTGGCGTGACCTGTGGATACTGAGGAAGCGTCGGTGACAAGAAGAGAGGTGGCGTGACCTGTGGATACTGAGGAAGCGTCGGTGACAAGAAGAGGGGTGGCGTGACCTGTGGATGCTGAGGAAGGGCTAGTGACAGGAAGAGGCGTGGTGTCACCTGTGGATACTGAGGAAAGGCTGGTGACAGGAAGAGGGGTGTCCTGACCTGTGGATGCTGAGGAAGTATCGGTGACAGGAAGCGGCGTGGTGTCACCAGTGGATGCTGAGGAAAGGCTGGTGACAGGAAGAGGGGTGGCCTGTCCTGTAGATACTGAGGAAGTGTCGGTGACCGGAAGAGGGGTGGCATGACCTGTGGACACTGAGGAAGCGTCGGTGACAGGAAGAGGGGTGGCGTGACCTGTGGACACTGAGGAAGCGTCGGTGACAGGAAGAGAGGTGGCGTGACCTGTGGGTACTGAGGAAGCGTCGGTGACAGGAAGAGGGGTGGTGTGACCTGAGGATGCTGAGGAAGGGCTAGTGACAGGAAGAGGCGTGGTGTCACCTGTGGATGCTGAGGAAAGGCTGGTGACAGGAAGAGAGGTGGCGTGACCTGTGGATACTGAGGAAGCGTCGGTGACATGAAGAGGGGTGGTGTCACCTGTGGATGCTGAGTTAGTGTCGGTGACAGGAAGAGGGGTGGTGTCACCTGTGGATACTGAGGAAGCGTCGGTGACAAGAAGAGAGGTGGCGTGACCTGTGGACACTGAGGAAGCGTCGGTGACAGGAAGAGAGGTGGTGTGACCTGAAGATGCTGAGGAAGGGATGGTGACAGGAAGAGAGGTGGTGTCACCTGTGGATGCTGAGGAAGCGTCGGTGACAGGAAGAGGGGTGGTGTCACCTGTGGATGCTGAGGAAGGGCTGGTGACAGGAAGAGGGATGGCCTGACCTGTGGATGCCGAGGAAACGTCGGTGACAGGAAGACGGGTGGTGTCATCTGTGGAAGCTGAAGAAAGGCCGGTGACAGGAAGTGGGGTGGCGTGAGCTGTGGATACTGAGGAAGTGTCGGTGACAGGAAGAGAGGTGGCGTGACCTGTGGATGCTGAGGAAGTGTCGGTGACAGGAAGAGGGGTGGTGTGACCTGTGGATACTGAGGAAGTGTCGGTGACAGGAAGAGAGGTGGCGTGACCTGTGGATGCTGAGGAAGTGTCAGTGACAGGAAGAGGGGTGGTGTCACCTGTGGATGCTGAGGAAAGGCTGGTGACAGGAAGAGGGGTGACGTGACCTGTGGATGCTGAGGAAGTGTCAGTGACAGGAAGAGGGGTGCTGTCACCTGTGGATGCTGAGGAAAGGCTGGTGACAGGAAGAGGGGTGACATGACCTGTGGATTCTGAGGAAGTGTCGGTGACAGGAAGAGGGGTGGTGTGACCTGTGGATACTGAGGAAGGGCTGGTGACAGGAAGAGGGGTGGCGTGACCTGTGGATTCTGAGGAAGTGTCGGTGACAGGAAGAGGGGTGGCGTGACCTGTGGATACTGAGGAAGCATCGGTGACATGAAGAGGGGTGGTGTGACCTGTGGATGCCGAGGAAGCGTAGGTGACAGGAAGAGGGGTGGCGTTGCTGATGAGGGCCGTGGTGAAGGTTTTACCAGACCCTGAAGGTGACAGAGTGTGGGTCTGGGTTTGTGGAGATGTAAGCCCACTGGATGTGATCGATGGAGGTGTGGGTGGGACTGTTGAGAAGGTGTCGGTTGCCTGGGACGCCAGGCTGATAGTGTCAGACCCTCTGCTGGTTCTTGTCCTCTGAGTCTGGGCCATCCGGGAAATGGCGGCTGTCTCCTGAGGAGAGGCACTGGGAGAAGTTGGGCTTGACTGTCCTGTCGGTCTCCCTGCAGTGGAGGCCTCAGAGAGGGTGGGATGAAAGGTGCCGGGGACGATCGAAGACGCCATTCCTGTGCTTACTGGGATGGCACCATGACTGGCTGAGGCGGACAGCAATTCGGTTGTTGACTGGGTTGTGTGACTGTCCCTGGAGGGGTTTGATGAAAACCTTGTCGTCTCTCCTGAGGTGGATATTCCTTCGCTTCCTGAAGGTGTTGTGCCACTCGCCCCGGATGAGGAAGGGGTAGCTGTGCCCGCTGAGGTGGTTCGTGACCCTGAGGAGGCCGGTTCGCTGGTCTGTGTTTGTCCAGAGGCCTCTGTGCTCTCAGCCTGGTGGGTATGGGTCATGGCTGCTGCTGTGTCAGGTGAGGTGCTGGCAGAGGCTGATGTCCATTGTCCTTCTGGGCCCCCTGGTGTTGACACTACAGAGTTGGCCAGAGTAAGGGCACCTGTTTTGGAAAGTGACGTGCCTCCTGAGGGCCCCAGGGTGGCATCATGGCTGCTGGGTGCTGCCTGCAGTGCTGTGGTCGGGGCCTGGGTTGTGTGACCATCCCCGGTGGGAGCTGGGGCAAAGGTTGTTGCTGCACTTATGGTGGGTGCGTCCTGAGGAACAATTTCTGAGGGCGAGTGCCCACTGGCTGTGAAGGAAGAACCTGGGGTGGTGACTGTCTTGGTGTCAGTCATGGGGGAGACGGACCTCGTGGTTTGTGATTCTTGTGTGGTCTGCGGGGCTTGAGTGTGACCCCTTTGGGAAACAGCTGGTGATTCCTGAGGAGAGGTGCTTGTGGAATGTATTGTTGAATGATTTGTTGATGGTGCCGTTGTAATTTGTTGTGATGTGTGTCTATCCAGCATAGGTGAAGAAGATGGGGATGTGGCCGTTTTTATCATCTGAGTCACACTGTAGCTTGGGCTGCTGAGAAGAGCCTCTCCAGTGGTCCCCGTTTCTTGTGTCCATTGTGTCTGGGCGCCTGCCCCTGTTGTTTTTGGGAGAGTTGTGCTGTGGGAGGAGTATGTGGTGGGCTCTCCTGGTTCCCCTATTGCTGAGACCTTAGAGGGGACCCTTGGAATAGTGCCAGCTGCCCCTGTAGATGGATTTCCTGTGACAAGCCTAGTGGCAGCACCTGTTGATGTTGAGGGCAGTTCTGTTTGTGACCAAGTTGTGTGGCCTTTGCTGGAGAATGAGGAAGGCCATGTTGTTGTTTCATGTAGAGTAAATATTTCTTGAGACACACCTGGAGAGAATGAGCTCCTCTCATGAGGCCGTCCTGTGGTCTCTGCACCTTCACTCTGCTGGGTGTGGAAAGCTGTGGATATTTTTGGAGGTAGAGAACTGGGGGAGAGTGCTGTTGACAGAGTGTCTGACCACCATATGGTTGAAACTTTGGAAGTGATTGCAGAAATGGTTCCACTTACAGATAGTGATGTCTCCTCTGTGTTTCCAAGAGTAGAGTCTCTGGAGATTGGCATTCTGAACACCTTTGATGTTACCAGGAATGTATTGCTGACACTGGAAGGGGATGAGATGGTTGTTTCACCAGAAGGGAATGTCTCCTGAGAAACTGTTCCACTTGGGTTGAATCCACTTGGTGAGGATAAAACAGTTGATGTTGTAACCGGTGTGAGGGTGTTGAGGGTGTTGATTTGAGATACTCTGGTGGTCTCCACGCTCTGAGTCTGGTGGTTCTTAGAAAAAGCTGTTGTGTCCTGAGTAGAAGTCCTTGAGAAAGTTACTGGTGATTGTCCTTCTGGATCAACTGTTACTAAGGCTGCTGAGGTGACTGGCATAAGACTTCCAGTAACAGGTACTGATGATGTCTCCCCTGGGTTTCCAAGAGTGGAGCCTGTGGAGGTTGTCACTGTTATCTTCTCTGATGTCATCATGGATGTGTTTGTGACACTACAGAGGGATGAGGTAGCTGTTTCACCTGAAGGAGATGTCTTCTGAGAAACAGTCCCTGTCACATTGTGTACACTTGGAGAGAAAGAAGGAGTTGAAGTGGTTCTGTGTGTTAGGGTGCTGGTTTGAGATTCCCTGGTGGTCTGCGTGCTCCGAGTCCAGTGGTTCTGAGAAGAAGCTGATGTGTCTTGGATAGAGGTCCTCCAGGAAGTTGTTCGTGATTGTCCTTCCTGTCCAGCTGTTATTGAGACTGCTGAGGTCACTGGGGTAGAACTTTCAGTTCCTGCTGTTGATGTCTCTTCTGTGTTTCCAAGAGTGGAGTCTGTGGAGGTTGTCATTGTTATAGTCTTTGATGTCATCATGAGTGTGTTGGTGACACTGGAGGGAAATGATGTGGTCATTTCATCTGGAGGAGCTGTCTCCTGCGTAACAGTCTCCATCACATTGTGTACACTTGGGGAAGAAAAAAGAGTTGATGTCATCATCTGCGTGAGGGTGTCGGTTTGAGCTTTGCTGGTGGTCTCCGTGCTCTTAGTCTGGTGGTTCTGAGATGAAGCTGATATGTCCTGATTAGAGGTCCTTGAAGAAGCTGCAGTTGATTGTCCCTCTAGTGTCGCTGTTGTTGAGCCTGTTGAGGTGACTGGGGCAGGAGTTTTACTTCCAGTTATTAATGTGTCCTCTGTGGTTCCTGGAGTGAACCAAAATAGGCAAGCAGAGAGCTAAATCATGAATGAACTCCTATTCACAATTGCTACAAATAGAATAAAATACCTAGGAATACAGCTAACAAAGGATGTGAAAACTACCATTCTTCACAGAATGAGAACAAACTACTTTAAAATTCATATGGAATCAAAAAAGAACCCAAATAGCCAAGACAATCCTAAGCAAAAAGAACAAAGTGGGAGGCTACCTGACTTCAAACTATACTACAAGGCTACAGTAACCAAAACAGCATGGTACTGGTACCAAAACTGACATATAAACCAATGGAACAGAATAGATACCTTGGAAATAAGACCACACATCTACAACCATCTGATCTTTGACAAACCTGACAAAAGCAGGCAATGGTGAAAGGATTCTCTATTCAATAAATGGTGCTGGGAAAACTGGTTAGCCATATGCAGAAAACTGAAACTGGACCCCTTCCTTACACCTTATACAAAAATTAACTCAAGGCAGGTTAAAGACTTACATGTAAAACCCCAAACCATGAAAACCCTAGAAGAAAACCTAGGCAATACCATTCAGGACATAGACATAGGCAAAGATTTTATGATGAAATCTCCAAAAGCACTTGCAACAAAAGCTAAAATTGACAAATGGGATCTAATTAAACTAAAGAGCTCTGCACAGCAAAAGAAACTATCATCAGAGCAAACAGGCAACCTACAAAATGAGAAAATTTTTGCAATCTAACCATCTGACAGAGGTCTAATATCCAGAATTTACAAGGAACTTAAATTTACAAGAAAAAAATAAACAACCCCATCAAAAAGCAGGCAAAGGATATGAACAGACACTTATCAAAAGAAGGCATTTATGCCACCAACAAACATATGAAAAAAGGCTCATCATCATGGATCATTAGAGAAATGCAAATCAAAACTACAAAGGGATATCATCTCACACCACTCAGAATGGCAATTATTAAAAAGTCAAGAAACAGCAGATGCTGGCAAGGCTGTGGTGAAATAGGAACGCTTTTACACTGTTGGTGGGAGTGTAAATCAGTTCAACCATTGTGGAAGACAGTGTGGCGATTCCTCAAGGATCTAGAACCAGAAATACCATTTGACCCAGCAATCCCATTACTGGGTATATGCCCAAAGGAATATAAATCATTCTGTTATAAAGATACATGCACACGTATGTTTACTGCAGCACTATTTACAATAGTAAAGACATGAAACCAACCCAAATGTCCATCAGTGATAGACTGGATAAAGAAAATGTGGTACATATGCAGCACGGAATACTATGCAGCCATGAAAAAGGAATGGGATCACGTCCTTTGCAGGTACATGGATGAAGCTGAAAGCCATCATCCTCAACAAACTAACAGGGGAACAGAAAACCAAACACTGCATGTTTTCACTCATAAGTTGGAGTTGAACAATGAGAACACATGGACACAGAGAGGGGAACAACACACACTGGCGCCTGTCAGGGATGGGACAAGGGGAGGAAGAGCGTCAGGATAAATAGCTAATACATGCAGGTGATGGGTTGATAGGTGCAGTAAACCACCATGGCACATATATACCTGTGTAACAAACCTGCACGTTCTGCACATGTATCCTGAAACTTAAAGTAAAAAATGAAAAGAAATAAAAAGAAAAAATGAAAAATTAATATATCACAACTGTACATATTTGGGGGATAAAAAAATAATAAGAGATGGGGCCGGGCATGGTAGCCCCACCTGCAATCCCAGCACTTTGGGAGGCTGAGATGGGTGGATCACTTGAGGTCAGGAGTGCGAGACCAGCCTGGGCAATATGGCAAAACCCCGTCTCTACTAGAAAAAAAAATACAGAAATAGCTGGGCGTGGTGGTGGGTGCCTGTAATCCCAGTTACTCAAAAGGCTGAGGCAGGAGAATTGCTTGAACCCAGGAGGTGGAGGTTGCAGTGAGCAGACATCATGCCACTTCACTGCAGCCTGGGCGACAGAGCAAGATTCTGTCTCAAAAAAAAAATAAATAAATAAAATAAAAAAGGAGAGAGAGATGGGGGTGCAGGATTCCCACAGAGGAAGGCCCCTGATAAGCACTGCTTCAAATCGCCTAGAAAAAGCACAGTTGCAGGAATATAGCCAATGGTCTTCTCCAGCTCCCGCCTGTCTTCCTTGTGAGGAGGAAGGTGAGGTTAGACTAGAATGGTGAATTAACTGTGTTAAACTCCATGGGAAGAGGCAAACAGTACCCCTGCTATAAGCCGGGTTAACTCTCTCAACTTGAATTATAGCATTATCTTTCTTAAAAATAAATTAAATTTCTACTTTTCTTTTTCGTTGTTAACATCTGTGCCAATCTGGTAAAAAACCCAAGGGGTAAATGCATATACTCTTGCCCTGGTCACAGACTACCAAGAAGCTAATATTATTGACCATAACCACTTTTTAAAAAAAAATTATTTCCCAGGCAGAGGCCAGGCATGGTGGCTCATGTCTGTAATCCCAGCATTTTGGGAGGCCAAGGTGGGAGGATCACTCGAGGCCAGGAGTTTGAGACCAGCCTGGGCAAGATAGCGAGACCCTGTGTCTTAAAAAATAAAAATAATAATAATAATAATAAAAATAGATATTAAATAAAGAAAAATATTTCCCAGGCAGAATGTTTAAATATTGGCTTTTTTTGTTTAAAATATTTCACAGCACCTGCACTAGCCACATACCATCTTCGTGAATATTACCTTAGCCTCTGAGTCTCTGAACCAAGAAGAAACCAAGAAAACTTGCCTTTTTTTTTCTCTTAGAAACTGACTCTTTTGGGTTTTCATTAGTTCCCTAGCTGTTCTCAAACTTCTTTCTTTTTTCTTTTTAAACATATATATATAGAGAGAGAGAGAGAGAGAAGAAAGAGAGAGAGAGAGAAAGAAAGAGAGAGAGAGAAAGAGAGACAGGGTCTTCTGTCACCCAGGCTGAAGTTCAGCGGTGTAATTGGCCTTCTGAGTAGCTGGGACTACAGGCACACACAACCATGCCTGGGTAATTTTTTTATTTCTGTAGAGGTGGAATCTTGCTATGTTGCCTAGGCTGGTGTCGAACTCCCGGCCTCAAGCGATCCTCCTGCTTCAGACTCTCAAAGTACTGGGATTAAAGGTGTGAGCCACCGCTCCCACTCTTTTTTTCAACCTCAGTGCTCCTAGATAGTTGGCAAGATGATACTCAGAGAGACAAAGTCTCAGGGAAGAATTCAGCTTCAAGTCCACTTTCTGGAATTGACTGTAATTCGCCACCTTCTCTTCTTCAGACAGTAACTTAGACTCTCAAGTGAGTGATAATGGTTATGAACCAGCTCTAATTGTTAAAAAAGTGACTCACGTGCAAGCTTCTGCACTTCATTAATAGTAACTGCTTACTGGTGACACACTTGTAAACCGACGTGGACAAAGGCACGGGCTGAACCGCAGAGCCCTCTGGGAGGTCCCTGGGCCCCTGGCTTAATCCAAAATGACTCCACTTCAACTTTAAACGGAAACTTCCTTTAGTTGGAATTAGGTTGAGATTTGTTGATAGGACTCTAAACTCGATGCCTGCTTTCTCCTAGAGAAAATTTGCAAAACTTGGTTTCTCCAAATAAGGTTTAAATTTAAAAACATTCTCTATGCAGTTATTTTTAACCTTATTTCATTTCCCTGATAACATAATTAAGAGCATTTGTCTATCATCAGGCTTTGAGTAGACAGGAGCTATCTAGGGGCCAAACTTTCTGAATGTGTAAATTCTTGGCAATTAACATCTTTTCAGAGCCTGCATCACCTCTGCTAAAATCAGTGTCAGCAGCAGAAGTTTCATGACAGCACCGTCCTTTTTTTTAAAGTAAAGATTTTTGTAGTTCTTTATAAAAGTGGCACAGCTCCATTTCAGCAATATGGAAGAAGAGATAAGCCTCTAATAGCAAAACCAGCCGATGCCAGATAAATACAGGTTATAAATGTAATAAATGTTTTCTAATGCAGAGGTGAGATGAGAAGAAAGAAAGGGAAACACTCAGGAGTGAAGAAGTTAACAACTAAGATGGTGAGTCAATGCCCTTGGAAATGTGCTGACTGAAAGGCTGAAAAAGGAAAGGAAGCAAGACCCTCGGTCACGACACTGAACTGAGTTTCCCTGCAAAAAGCTGGAACCGCCAGCAAAAAAGGTGGACTAGAAAGACCAGGAAGAAAAAAGAAAAAGGAAGCAGAATGAAGGATATAGTAACAGACCAGAACTCACTATAGAAACAATTAAAAATGGAATAAATGAAGCCAAAGATTAGTTCTTTGAAAATAAAACAAACACCTGGCAAGAGAAAGAAAGTGGGGGGGGGTGTGGGAGGAGGGAGAGAGAGAGACAGAAAAGACACAGATATCAAGATTATTAGAAACAAAAAAGGGTACATAACTTCAGAAAAAAAATTTAAGAGACAGTGCTCTGATGAATTTATACCAAAAAGTATGAAAACTTAGATAAATTGGATATACTGTCCTTAAAAATATAATTTATCAAAAATGAATTAAGAAAAAAACCTGGCTAAAAACTATTTTATTTTATTTATTTAATTTTATTTATTTATTTTTTTGAAACAGAGTCTTGCTTTGTTGCCCAGGCTGGAGTGCAATGGCATGATCTCAGCTCACTGCAACCTCTGCCTCCCAGGTTCAAGATTCTCCTGCTTCAGCCTCCCAAGTAGCTGGGATTACAGGCGCATGCCACCACGCCCGGCTAATTTTTGTATTTTTAGTAGAGACTGGGTTTCACCATGTCGTCCTGGCTGGTCTCAAACTCCTGACCTCAGGTGATCCACCCACCTCGGCCTCCCAAAGTGCTGGGATTACAGGCATGAGCCACCTCGCCCGGCCACTATAAACTATTTTAAATTGAATCAGCAGTTTAAAAAATATAATCTAGGCCGGGTGCGGTGGCTCACGCCTGTAATCCTAACACGTTGGGAGGGTGAGGCAGGCGGATCATGAGGTCAGGAGATTGAGACCATCCTGGCTAACACGGTGAAAAAAAAATTAGCTGGGCATGGTGGCAGGCGCCTGTAGTCCCAGCTACTCTGGAGGCTGAGGCAGGAGAACGGCGTGAACCTGGGAGGCAGAGGTTGCAGTGAGCGGAGATCATGCCATTGCACTCCAGCCTGGGTGACAAGGTGAGACTCCGTCTCAAAAAAAAATATGTATATATAATCTATCCACCCCACAAAAAAATGCAGGCTAAGATGAGTTTACAGGCAAATCAGACATTCAAGGAACAGGTAATTTCAATTCTATACAAACATATTCAGAGTTTGGAACAGGAGGAAATGATCTACTAATAATTTTATAAGGTTGGAAACCAAAGATAGGATAAGAAAGACAAACTATAGATTAATAAGTCCCAGTAATAATACATGGAAGCATCGTAAATAAAATATTAGCAAGCCAAAGTGCATCATGGCCGGGCGCGGCGGCTCACGCCTGTAACCCCAACACTTTGGCAGGCCGAGGCAGGCGGATCACTTGAGGCCGGGAGTTCCAGACCAGCCTGGCCAACCTAGAGAAACCCCGTCTCTGGTAAAAATACAAAAAATTTGTATTTTTTTGGATTACAGGTGTGTGCTGGGCTTGGTGGCACACACCTGTAATCCCAGCTACTCAGGAGGCTGAGGCACGAGAATTGCTTGAACCCAGGAGGCAGAGATTGCAGTGAGCCGAGATTGTGCCACTGCACTCCAGCCTGGTGACAGAGCAGGACTCTATCTTAAATAAATAAATAAATAAATAAATATTTTAAAAGTACATCATGATCAAGCTGAGTTTAAATCAGAAATGCAAGATAAAGACAATGCTTTCTTAATGTAAATCACCATATAAACAGAATGGAGGGGAGACACAATCACCACAGCAGATACAGGAAAGTTATTTGATAAAAGTCAACACTTACTCCTGTTAAAACTCCTAGCAAACTAAAAAGAGACGTTAACTCTTTTAACCTGATAAACAATGTCAATTATAACCCCGTGTAAACATTATACTTAAAACAATAGAAACGTTTCTGTAAAATCAGGAATAAAAACAAGATGCCAACAATCACTGCTTCTAATCAACATTAGGTTGAAGGTTTTAGCTGGTGAAATAAGACGAGAAAATTAAACAAAAAGTATGAGAGTACAGAAATGTGATTTTGGGTATGGAAGGGATGAAACAAGCCTATGGTTATTTGCAGATAACATAATTGTTTACATAGAAACTTCCCAAACATATACATTATTAGCAAAGTTCTATATCCATAATCAAAATTTTAAAAATAATTGCATTCCAGCTGGGTGTGGTGATTCATGCCTGAATCCCAGTGCTTTGAGAGGCTGAGGCAGGAGGAACACTTGAGGCCAGGAGTTCAAGACCAGCCTGGGTAACATAGCAAGATCCTGTCTCTACAGAAATAAAAAATAAAAAAATAAAAAATTAGCTGGGCATAGTAGCACACACATATAGTTCCAGCTACTCAGAAGTTGAGGGGGGAGGATCACTTGAGCCCAAGAGTTCGAGGCTGCAGTGAGCTATGATCACCCCACTGTACTCCAGCCTGCATGACAGAGGGAGACTCTGTCTCAAAAAGAGATTTAAAAACAAAATAAAACTGCATTCCTATATATCAGTGAAAGAGAAAATATTTTTAAGACTATAGTGTTTATGATGGTGACCAAAAAAAGTACATAAAAATAAATCTAACAAAAGATGTGCTTAATCTTTATGGACAAAATTGTACAACTGCATTGAAATATGCCAAAGAAAACACACATACTGGTTACGTGCATTTGGGAACATTTATAGTTGAAAGATCAAAACCCATAATCTTGCTACCAGACAATGCTTCCTTCCAGGATGTTTTTATGCTTTAAAAAATATATAGTTTAGGCCAGGAGTGGTGGCTCACACCTGTAATCCCAGCGCTTTGTGAGGCTGAGGTGGGCGGATCATGAGGTCAGGAGATCGAGACCATCCTGGCTAACAGGGCGAACCCCCGTCTCTACTAAAAATACAAAAAAATTAGCCGGGCGTGGTGGCGGGCGCCTGTAGTCCCAGCTACTCGGGAGGCTGAGGCAGGAGAATGGCGTGAACCCGGGGAGGCGGAGCTTGCAGTGAGCCGAGATTGCACCACTGCACTCCTGCCTGGGTGACAGAGTGAGACTCCGTCTCAAAAAAAAAATTAAAAATTAAAAAATATATATGTATAGTTTAACTTATTCAGTATACATAATTTTGTATCCTGCCTTTTTAGCCATACCTGATATGAGCATTTCTTCAAGATACTAGCTTCGTAAACATAGCCTGAGAAGACGCACATCTTTTATGTCTTGGATGGCAGTTCCTTGCTTCCCCCTTTTGGAGTCCTACAAGAGCTGGCTCAGGGGGACTGGGAGAGCTCAGCTCCATAGTAAAATCTAGGGTGCTGTATAAAAACTCCCCCTGCTGAGCTCTGGTGGCCTCCTTCCTAACAAAGCCACTCCCCCAACTGGAAGCGTTGTTACCCTTCCCATTTTCTGTTAAACAGGAGCAGGTCTCTCTCCTGTACCACATCCTGCTGTGTGTCCACCATACCCACCTCTCTGTGCAATGAGAGCTCGGGGGTCATGTGGACTCCACTGCTCCCTGCTCGCAATTTCTCCTTAATACATCTTACTTTATGCCCGTTCTGTGTGTTGCTAGTATGTATGTGTGACACTGTGTGTGTGTGTGTGTGTGTGTGTGTGTGTGACACTGTGTGTGTGTGTCCCTGCCCTTATGGAACATTGGACATAGCCTTTAAACATTTTTTTTTCCAGATGGAGTTTCACTCTTGTTGCCCAGGCTGGAGTGCAACGGCACGATTTCGGCCCACTGCAACCTCCACCTCCGTGATTCTCCTGCTTCAGCCTCCCAAGTAGCTGGGATTACAGGCATGTGCCACCATGCCAGGCTAATTTTTTGTATTTTTAGTGGAGACTGGGTTTCACCATGTTGGCCAGGCTGGTCTCAAACTCTTGACCTCAGGTGATCCACTCACCTCAGCCTCCCAAAGTGCTGGGATTACAGGCGTGAGCCACCGCGCCCGGCCTAAACACTAAATAATAAGCCATCATAGAGAAAGCTCATATTGTTAACTTACTGTTGGACAATTAGGATATTTCCAATGTATTGCTTATTTTAAATAAAGCCCTGATGACTATCTTCGTGTCTAATGTTTTGTTTACATTATTTCAGCTCATCTCCTTAACATAAATTTCTATCAGTGGAATTGCTGGTTTATGCCGTTATAAAATTTTTCATGTTATTAATACAGACTGCCAAATTTCTTTGCAGAAAGCTTATGCCAATTTACAGACCTGTTGGCAGTGTGCAAGAGTGTGCCTGTTTCCCCATATCCCTAGCCTGTGAACAAAGGGGCATGATCCAGGACAGGCCCCATCCCTCACCTGCTGCTCTTTGCTTCACAGCATCGACTGAAAATCGGCCAGGTGCGGTGCCTCACACCTGTAATCCCAGCACTTTGGGAGGTCGAAGCGGGTGGATCATTTGAGGTCAGGAGTTCAAGACCAGCCTGGCCAACATGATGAAACCCCATCTCTACTAAAAATACAAAAATTACCCAGGCATGGTGGCGTGCACCTGTAATCCCAGCTACTCAGGAGGCTGAGGCAGGAGAATCTCTCAAACCTGGGAGGTGGAGGTTGCAGTGAGCCGAGATCGCGCCACTGCACTCCAGCCTGGGCGACAGAGCGGGACTCCATCTCAAAAAAAAAAAAAATTCTTGCTAAACAGGGCTGTGTCCTGGTAGTCCTCCTTTTAAATCTTTATTTAGAGAACTTGCTCATCTTGAGCCAAGTTGATTAGAGTTTCCTGCTGCCGCAAATAGGAGGGCAAGTGAGTCACTGCATGTGGAGGACATAGTTTTATTGTCTAGGGGAGAAGGCGCTGTCAAAATCTCTCAATCTGTTGGGCTTGTGAGGAGGAAGAGATTAGCATTCGTTACGACAAAACTACAGTTATTGCATTTGTCTTTCACCATCATTTAAACAATACCTCTGAAGCCACTCCTGCAATAGATTGATTATTCAGCTGTTTAGGAAAACAATTTGCAGATAACTCAATCTACTAAGCTTGAGTAGGTTATTTGTAGGTAAGAAATCCTGTGTTCAAGTATGACCTATCTTTACAAAGAAGAAAAAGAAAGAAATCCTAGTGGATGGAGAGACTATGGAGAATGATTTTTGGTAAGAAAATGGTTCTCAGCTGGGCATGGTAGCTCATGCCTAAAATCCCAGCACGGACAGGCAGAGGCGGGAGGATTCCTTGAGGCCAGGAGTTTGAGACCAGCCTGGGCAATAGCTCAAGACCCCTTCTCTGAAAAAAAAAAAAAAAAAAAAAGTGGTTCTCAAAAGGCAGAGGGTGCATCAGCATTTTAACACATGTCCAGAGTGATTCTGATGCAGGTGGTCCGTGGACCCCACGTTCAGAAACACTTCCCTTAAAATAAAATGATAGTATCCACTCTTAACAATGTTTGTAAGCCAAAACCATCTCGCTGAAGTTGTCAGGCAGAGAAATTTGAAGCCTTGATCAAGTTTTATTCTAAAAAATACTCATAGCCTTGTTCTTGCTGCTCAAGTGTTGGCCAGAATGAACTGACCTTGGCTCTCACCAGGATGCAAGTCAGGCCCTTCAGGTTCCGTCAGATTGTCAGACAACTGAAACTTGTTCTCACTCTGGCCAAACGCATAAACTTGGGGAGCAGAGAGCTGGGAGATTTGCGCCTAAAGAGTTGATATTGGAGAGAAACAGGTCTCTCCTCTCTCTTCTCTCCCCGTGACCCTCCATTTTCTACTTCACTGAAAGAACCAAAGCCGTGCCCTTCATCTCCTTCAATGCCCAGAGCCTTCTCCGCACCCTCCCCGGGGCCCCGGGGCTCCCTCCTGCCCGGATGGCTCACTGCTCTGCCTCTGTGTCTCCGACGTTCTTTCTGCCTTTCTCCTTCTCTCCTGCCTGTGAGCATGTTCAGGTGTCTGTTGGCCTAAAACAAGTCTGTCATCCGTCTGTGTCCTCCTCGTCCCTCCAGCAGCATGAAAGCCGGGCTTCCCCTGCCGCCTCTTCTTTACCACGCACTGCTCGCTCTGCCCCCACCTCACTCACTTCGCTCAAGCCGTTTTCCTCAGAGCTACCAGAATCTCCTTCCCAACAGCAAAAACGATTTTCTCCAGTCCTCACGCGTCTCATCAGTTCGGCCCCATCCATTCATTCATTCATGAATCTGACAGATGTGTATTGCGCCCCCCCCTCCACGTGCTCTCCCTGGCCGGCGGCCCCGTGCCACCACCCAGCCTCACCCTCATTGAAGCTGACGGGTCCTGCTCCACCGTCCACGCTCCCGGGCCCTCCACTCCACTCCCCTTGCCACCTCTCTCCCCCGCTCCACGCCCAGATGACATGTCTCCAGCCCTTTCCCTCTCCTGCTGCCCCTCCCTCTCTGGCCACCCTGCGTCTACTCTCACGCCTTACAAATCTGTACTTCTCCCTGACTTCCCACCCATATGCTGGCCTCACCCTCCCAGGGATTTCCTGCCTAGCTCATGCAATGCAACAGGTCCAGGTCAATCTTTCCTTGCAAGCTTTCTTCCTTCCTTCTGTTCATGCTAACAACAGTCCCCCAGACATCCAGCCCAGAAAGCTGTGGGTCCTCTGGATTTCTTTCTCTTCCTTGTCCCCTGTGTCCTAGTCAGTACTCGTTGATCTTCCTCCCAAGTGTTCACCCCATCGCGTCCTCTTGTTTGCTTTGCCACATCCTCCCCGTCGCTTTGACTACTGCGGCAGCCTCCTCACTGCCCCTGCTGACTCGGGTTCCGCACCCCTGCTCTCAGCCTCCACCGCACCCCTGTGGGTTGATCCTCAGCTCTGAGGGCCAGGAGGGAGGGTTGCTGCTGCTGTCTCCTTAGCTCGAATTGCTTTGGAAAATGGCCTGCCCTGCCTGCCCTGGAAGGTGTCTGGTAGGTCCTGGGGTCACAGACTGGTGACTGGCATTGGTCCTGGGTGTCTGCGTAGGTCCCGGGGGCGTGGGTCTAGTGGTCAGAGACTGGTGACTGGCATTGCCATTGTGACACGGATGTCAGAAACCAGAATCCTCAGAGGGAGGCCACTGGGCAAGAATGACCTTCGTCTGGTTGTGACTGAGGAAAGATACTTCCAGCGCGTCTGTGTGCGTGGCAGGGTGGCTTCTGTAATAAGAAATGGCCACGCCAAGGGATTTCTCGTTTCTGCGGGAGACATTGTTCAGTTTTGTAGCCGGCAGCTTAAATTCAAAATGCATTTTAAACATGTTTTCCCCTTTCTCTTGGGTTTCCAAATACAACCTTGAGGCAGCTGCAAAGGCCGTTTTCCTCAGCCTAAAAATAGACTTCACGCCCCTCCCTTTTCTCACGATCTGTACACACTCCCTCCCTCTTCTCACCGTCTGTACACACTCCCTCCCTTTTCTTGTCATCTGTATACACTCCCTCCCTTTTCTTACTGTCTGTATATACTCCCTTCCATTTCTCTGCGTGCGAGGATCGAATTATATGTCTTCCTAAAAGTTGCAGGGGCTAAAACCTTGAGAGAGACAAACCACATCTGAAAATCCAGCTGCAAAATCCCAGAAATTACTTCAAGACAGCTCTTGTTAAAATAATGTCAGCCAGAGGTCCGGACGGACTGGGACCCAGAAGAGCCACCAGAACAAGACATGCGGACACAGGACTCAGCCCGATTCTTGCGTGCCTTCCTTATCAAGGCTTTCCCCTCTGAAAATTAAAGCAGCTACTTTAAGTAGAAATCTGGCTGCTTCCCCTTTACTAGTTTTGGTTAATAAATTCACGTTCTTCCTACCAGACCTTATGAATTAAACTATCCGTTTAATATAATATAAACTCTCTGCAAGCAGCGAGAGCCTCCGCATCTGCGCTGGGTCGAGTGACTGAGGGTCAGCTGACTTGTGATGAACACACCAGGGAGGTGGGGCTTCTTTTTACTTCTCTCGTAGGCACGTTATGACTCTATGAATAATACAAATGTTCACAGCTCATGTTCATGTGGTGCTTTATAGCTTATCTTGTTAATAGCGGCCCCATTTCACAGGCGGGGAAATCGAGATTCAGCGGCCCCATTTCACAGGCAGGGAAATTGAGATTTGAAGAGACCGAGTGATATTATATGCCTTGGAAGTAGCAGGGCCGGGGGCTCGGGGTAAGAGCCATTGCTCGGAAGCTGCGAGCTGCTCAGCTCTGGGACTGCCACCGAGTGGATGGAGAGCTGAGGCAAAGATGGAGAAATGGTCACTGACCTGCCCCAAGTTCTTGGACTGCCACATGCAGAGGGCTCTGAGCCTGAGGCCGAGCCAGGCACATTCTCGGGGTGGACGCTGTGACACTGGGGTGTTTTTGCAATGTTCCTGGTGTCTCTTTTCTGGGATGATGTTAGAGTGAGTGTGAAGGCTGTTGACACCTTAAGGTGACAAGATCACTGTGAGAAGACACACGTGTGTCATTGAGTAAAACGGATAGTTTTTAAGACATTCTCTCAGAGGAAGAGTCTCCATCCAGGGACGAGGAGGGCACTGGCGTTGGCACTGAGGTAGAGACGTTCCCCACATCTGAGTCCTTGAAGGCTCTGTCAAGCCTCTGCCATCACGTCAGCCAGAGATCTCCCATCAAGGTAGTTCTTTTCTCTCCTTGAACCACGTCAGGTGGGAGACGGCCCACAGCTGCCTCACGTCTGTTAGGGCTCCAGGATGTGAAGGCCGAGTGGCAGTAGGCATCGTTTTCCCCAGATGGCCCCTCTGGTGACTCCACAGGTGTGCCGAGGTGACAGGTGTGCTGTTGGCTCGGGAGAAGGAGTGGCAGCAGTATGAGTGACGCTGGCAGAAGACAGATTCCAAGAAGGGTGAAGCCACTCCCTGAAGACACACAAAGCCTGCGGCTTTCTAAGTGCTGTGGGTTGAGGCTTATTCCTAGCATCTGGTCTGTTTGTCTTGGGTTTTTCCTGGAACTGGAGGTGAGGAACCCGTAAGCCGTATCGCCACAGTGTTTCACTTTCCTGGAGGGGAATTACTTCCTGACGGGTGGGGCCCCTTGCCAGGCTGCCTCGGGCAGGGCAGTGTAAGCCCAAGGGAAGTGCCCAACGGTAAGGATGGCCTTGAGGAGAACATTCAGCCCCACACAGGCAGCAGGCGGCCCGGAAGGCGCGCAGACGCTGAACCGCTGGCCCCACCGCCTTTGGCAGGGAGCTAATGCTATTTGTGTATCAGCCCAGAATCAACTGTGACCAGGGTTGTGTCCACTGGGTACTTCCCTAGAATTCAAGATGAGGAAAGACACTAACTCAAGATACCCTTGGAATAACAGACCTCTTGTGATCTCCAGCGCCTGAAACGAGACTTGGCATACAGCAGTGACTTCGTACACATCTGTGGAATACATCCCAGGCCCTGTGGCCTTTGTTGCCTTCAGCCGAGGCTGGAGAGAGGGTGACGTTGCCTGTTTCTTTATCTTTATCTTTTTTTTTTTTGAGATGGAGTCTCGCTCTGTCGCCCAGGCAGGAGTGCAGTGGTGCGATCTCAGCTCACTGTAACCTCCACCTCCCAGGTTCAAGTCCCTTCACAGTGGACTCCAAGGCGAGAACTTTACCCGTTCTTTCCAACGATCCCCGCCGAAGTCACACCCCAACCCATGGATCCCACCACCGGTCATTTGACCTCATTTCTGTCAGCATCTGGTGTGGCAGCACCCAGCCACTCTGGTGATCGCCACAGAAGCTCCAGCACCAAACCAAGAAGCACCAAAATCCGGCTGTGAGCACAGCACGCCGGCCAGCTCAACTCTCTTTTCCCCAACGCCTCCTTCTCGGAGGTGCCATCTCCAGTCTCCACCATCTTGGTGTTGCCACCCATCTCTCCTGGCTCCCACTGGGGCAGGCACATCCTCCTAGCCTAGCGCTGTCCTCAGGAGCCTGGCTGCCTCTCCACAGTGGTTAGCCTCGGGCTGTCCTGGTGTGGTGGTGTGTGCCTGTGATCCCAGTTGGAATCAAGTGCTTCTCCTGCCTCAGCCTCCTGAGTAGCTGGGATTACAGGTGCCCACCACCATCTCCTGCTAATTTTTGTATTTTTAGTAGAGACGGGGTTTTGCCATGTTGGCCAGTCTGGTCTCAAACTCCTGACCTCAAGTGATCTGCCCGCTTCAGCTTCCCAGAGTGCTGGGATGACAGCCATGAGTCACTGTGCCTGGCCTTGTCTGTCATTTCAATTACTCAAAATCCATAATCTGGGCCGGGCGCAGTGGCTCACACTGGTAATCCCAGCACTTTGGGAGGCCAAGGTAAGCAGATCACTTGAGGTCAGGAGTTCGAGACTAGCCTGACCAACATGGCAAAACCCCATTTCTACTAAAAATACAAAAATCAGCAGAGCATGGTGGCATGTGCCTGTGATCCCAGCTACTCGGGGGGCTGAGGCACGAGAATCCCTTGAACCCTGGAGGCAGAGGTTGCAGTGAGCCGAGATAACGCCACAGCACTTCAGCCTGGGTGACACAGTGAGACTCTGTCTCAAAAATATAAATAAATAAAATAACATAAAATTCATAATCTATTCCACAGCTTGCAAAGCCCTGCGCGATCTAACACCTGCCTTCTCTTTCAAGTCCTCCAAGGGGCCAAGCTCTTTCCTGCCTCTCCATGAGCTCCGCCTCTGCCTGCTCAGGCCTGGCACCTTCTCCACCTGGCTGTCCTCAGCCTCAGGCCTCAGCTCCCCGCAGAACGGTTCCTCACAGGGCCCTTCCTGACTTGTCAGTCAGATGCACCTCCCCTACTCTCTGGCCATTCGAAATGCAGCTCTCAGCACACCCTGTACTTTTCCACACTGCATTTACCACATGTGCAGTTGAGAACATTTCCGTAATTATTTGATGTCTGTCTGCACCAAGATTTTAGTGCCAAGAGACTGGGCCACGTCTGTTTCACTCTTCACTGTGTGCATCCAGTGCTGTGTCCTAGAACAATGTCAGGAACTTAAGGCAGGCGTTTCCTAAATGGTGGTTTAATTAACAAATGAATGAATGAATGGCTGTCTCAGCAGGGTGTGTGAATGCTTCTGTTCTTCCCTCCGTCGGTGGGCTGGGCTGGTTTGGAGATTGCCGAAAGGCTGTGTGCTGCAGTGAGTCAGGAGACCTGGGTTCTAGTCCCAGCTGCCTCACTTATGGGTTCTATGATCTTAAACAAGTCACTTAACTTAGAGAGCTTTGAAAAGCAGGAACTGTGACGCATTCATCTTCCTGTCCAGAGCAGCTGGCATGAGTAGAAATTCTGCAAGTGAATGAACAACTCCAAAGTCTAGGCTGTTTCTTATTCCAAATTCCCCCAAAATCCACTGGCCACTGGACTTTTGGAACCTAAACTGCAACCTGGGCGGGGCGGCATCTCTACAGAGAGTCGATGTCTGTCCTCTGTGGTCCCTAAACACATACACGGGGAGTGGAGCTGCGGGCAACCCAGGCCAGTGCCCTTCCTCCAAGCAGGGCCGCCATTGCAAGGCCTCACGTGCAACACAAATGCCCAGTTCCTGAGACTTCTTCAGAGTCTCCAGGAAAAGGGTGAAAAGGCATTTAAACCTCTATGAAGTAGGGCCAGGCACAGTAGCTCACGCCTATAATCCCAGCACTTTGGGAGCCGAGGCGAGCGGATCACCTGAGGTCAGGAGTTCGAGACCAGCCTGGCCAACATGGTGAAACCCCATCTCTACTAAAAATACAAACATTAGCCGCTGTGGTGTTGGGCGTCTATAATCCCAGCTACTCGGGAGGCTGAGGCAGGAGAATCTCTTGAACCCGGGAGGCAGAGGCTGCACTGAGCTGAGACCACGCCACTGCACTGCAGCCTGGGGGACAGAGAGAAACTCTGTCTCAAAAAACAAACAAACAAACCCAAAAAACCAACAACAACAGCAACAATAAAAAAACCGTCTATGAAGAAATCGTCGATGAGGTGCCAACAGACTCAGTTATTTTGACTCAATTTCTCAGAACATGCTGGGGCGGGAACTCAGCCTAGCAGTAAGAAAGACGTATATTTAAGGTAAAAGGCTGAAACTAGGGGGAGAGAGAGCCTATAAGGTCTCTGTCCTGGCCTTCAGAGAAGTGGCTCTGTGAGCTACACGATGTGCATATTTTAAGCACTTAACAGCACCGTGAAATCAGAGAAAAGACACAGAGTAGCAAAACCACCCGTTGAGCGTACAAAAGGCCAACCACTTCTTGTCCTCTCATTGCCTCTTGTCCTTAGCAATGAAGACACAAATCACTTGCGTGTCAAGCACTGCCAGGCCAGCCTCTGCCAGGCCAGCCTCTGCCTCCACGGCTGAGCCCAGAAACCAAGGGCGTGGCGGGACTCACAGGCAGGGAGCGGTGAGGCAGAGCTGTCCGCTGGAGCGAGCCCCTGCTCTAGGGCCATGGCCCTCGGGGTCCGTTCATGCAGCAAGCCACATTCTGAATACACCAAGCCAGCCCTTGCAAACCCACAGGAAGCACGGGGTGGCTTTTTAGAGGCACGAGGATCCTTAGATGAAGGGATATGACCCTGGGCCGACACAAGTGCCATTCCGGGTTCAATCACCCTCCTTCCCCCGTCTTCCCAGGCCTCTTTCTCAAACACGTCTTTATGGCTTTTCTTTTTTTTTTAGACAGAGTCTTGCTCTGTCACCCAAGCTAGAGTGCTGCCATTTCGGCTCCCTGCAACCTCTGCCTCCCAGGTTCAAGCCATTCTCCTACCTCAGCCTCCCGAGTAGCTGGAATTACAGGCGCTCGCCACCACGCCCGGCAAAATTTTTTATTTTTAGTGGAGACAGGGTTGGCCAAGCTGGTCTTGAACTCCTGACCTCAGGTGATCCACCCGCCTGGGCCTCCAAAAGTGCTGGGATTACAGCGTGAGCCACCGCGCCCGGCCCTTTATGCCTTTTCTACTTTACACCAGATGCTGTCTCGTTTCATCCTCATGACAACCCTACGTAGTAGCCCCTTCCCCCTGGGCTCAGTTTGCCGATGAAGAGCCTAAGACTCCAGAGCCAAAAGGCGTTGCCTGTGTTCCCTGGGCTGCCAAGGGCGTCGCTGATGCTGGACCTCTGAGTTTCAGCCCCTGCTCTTCCCTGTGCACCTTGCTGGTCGTTGGCCAAAATTTGGCTGATGTTCCTGGCAGGACCTCTTGTCCAGGGATCCTTTCCTTTTGAGTGTCCTGGAGCACAGTGGGGTTTCCCAGAGGGGCAGAGGGGTCTGTGGAGAGTTTTGGTGTCCTCGGTGGCAAGTTGAGGTGGCCTGTCCCAGACTGACAGATAGACCGGGGGTTCTCCGAGGAGGGGCCCATAAAGACCCTTCCCCGTGGAGTGCGCTGTGGCCGGCGTCCCCTCCCCTGCCTGCCCTGCACTTGCTCCAGCCTGTCACCTCCCTGGGGTCACTGATAGTGCTGGAGACCAAGGCCTATTTCGACCCAGTTGCCTTTCCCTGTGGCATGGAACCAGGACGGCCAGGCTTCCTTCTGAGTCATTCCTGCCTGGGGCGACCAGTAGACACCAAATTTCCATCTGTCCTTGTCTAGCCCACCTCTGTCTGCTGTGCCTTATCCTTTAACCCTTGAGAGCCAGGGCTGTTCCTTAAGGAAACCCTCATTGCGGCAGCTCCTTTGTGGAAACCCTGTGTTTTTCCTCTGGCCTGGGCTTCAGTGTGACCCAGCCTGGGTGAGGGTCCTGCCGGCAAGTGTGCAAACAGACCCTAGACTCAAGTATAGGCAGGTCATCTGTAAACCCCTTCAGGGAGCCAAAAGGAACGGGGCTGGCTGGCTGCCAGTCCTCCAGCAGCTGCCCTGTGGGGGTGGGGGCTGCCCACCCGCCCTTGGTGACTGCTTTTCCTGCCAAGGCCCTGGTCATGCCCGGTCAGATGTGTGGGTGCCATCTCCCAGCCACGACCATCTCCTCTCCTGGCCCAGCTCCACTTGGTCCCCTTAGCGACGCAAAGGACTCAGCGCTCCACGACATGCCTAGCTTCTTCGGGTCGTCATGGAGACGCCCTTGCACACCAACAGTCCTTCACTCCTTCTCCGGGTCACGCCCCCGTGCTTTTCCACGCCCACCCCAGGTCTTGCCCCTCTGCGCTCCTCTCCACAGACCCCACTTCCTGGCTCCACATGGAGCTGAGTGTCCAGCTGGTACCCAGCACATTTGGGCTCAGCTTTAAATCACAGATTTGGAAACTCAAGAACTTGGGCGTCAGGAGGTCCAACCGTTCACCACTGCTTTTTACACAGGGGACCGGGGCCCTGGGGAGACACGGGGCAGGGCCTGGTCACAGGGGCCAGAACAGTTCACGGCAAAGACTTGGCCCTGGGGCTCCTAAATCCAAGCTGCCTCCCCGGCGCCCCAAGCCCCAGCCTCGCTCTGGGAGTCATGATTCCCGTGGAGACTCCTTCAACCACATCTGCAGGGCAGGGCCGTGTGGCGGCTCCTTCCGGCCTCCACGTCCTCACGGTGGGATGAGCACTGGAGCGGGGTTGTGTGGCCAGGGTGGGGTGGGGGTGCTGGAGGGTGGGGAGGTGTAGGGAGGTGGTGGCAGTTTCCTTTGCCCTCAGCCTAGTCCTGAAACATCCCGAGGTGGAAGGGTCCGCTTCACCAGCATGGCTTCTCTTGCAGCCTTTAAACGGCACTCGCCTTCTGACTCACTCCCAGGAAGCTCCTCAAATATGCGCCCAAGAAATATTTTCCCTCGGCGACTGTTCTTAGCCTGCTGAGAGGCAGGGCAGGAGCTGAGACTCTAACCCCAGCTTGAACTCTGGACCCCAGACTCTCCCCCAAAGACTCAGACACCCAGAAACACAGAATAAAACTTGGTCCTGAAGCCAGAGGGACAGCCTGGAAAGTGTGGGGAAGAGGACGGGGGCCCCCGAGGGAACATCTCCCACAGGCCTGGCATCCCTCCCCTCCCAGCTCTGTACACGGAGGAGCCCAAGGCCAATGCCGGGGCTACGAGCCCCAGGCAAGGCCGTGACCCAAATGGAGGCTTTTAAACCCGAGCTCAGAGGTAAGAAGCCCACGGCCAGCACCTCCCGGCCCTCTGCGCCCTGGCCGCCTCCTCCGCACCACCCTCCCGGCCGGCCTGCCCCTCTCCTCCTTGTCGCTTCCCTTGCTTGCTGCTGTCTCCCGATCTTCTCCTCTCTCCATTCCCAGGGTCCTCAGTTTGTCTGCGTCTCACCTGTCTCGTCCTCTCACCCTGCAGCTTTACATGAGTTTTCTTCCGTCTCCATCACCCAGCTTTCCTGGCATCCCCTCTACCCCCAGCTCTGTACACAAGGGTGTACATCTTTCTCCTTGACTCTGTTCCTCTTGCTCTGGCTCTGCCTGTCTTTCTCTCTGCGAGTAAGCCTGGGCTCTCACCATGGATCCTTCCAGACATCGCCGGGCTGCTCTCTGGCCCTCTGTTCTCTTTTCTCTCTCTTTCGAGCATTCTCCCTCTGTCTTTCCCCTCAGATCTTGTCCCGTATCTGCCAGTTCATGCCTCCTCTTCCCCACTTTTCTCCTCTTCTTATTTTTTATTTTATTTTATATTTATTTATTTATTTATTTATTTATTTATTTATTTATTTATTTTGAGACAGAGTCTCGCTCTCTCTCCCAGGCTGGAGTGCAGTGGCGCGATCTTGGCTCACTGCAACCTCCACCTCCCAGGTTCAAGTGATTCTCCTGCCTCAGACTCCTGAGTAGCTGGAATTACAGGTGGGGCCCACCACGACCGGCTAATTTTTGTATATTTAGTAGAGACGGGGTTTCACCATGTCGGCCAGGCTGGTCTCGAACTCCTGACCTCAGGTGATCTCCTGCCTTGGCCTCCGAAAGTGCTGGGATTACAGGCATGAGCCACCGCGCACGGCCTCCACTCTTCTTTCTCTCTCCCTCTTCTCTTCCTCTTCTTTCCCTCTCTGGGTCTCTCTCCACCTTCCCCCCATGTTGTCCCATTCATCTCTTTCTCCTTTCCCTCTCCCTCTTTTTCTCTCCCTTCTCTTCCTCTTCGCTGTCTCCCTTTCCCCTATTCTCTCTCTCTCTCTCTCTGTCTCCCCGGACCTCTTTCTCTGACAGCTCCCACCTCCCCCAAGTGCTCCCCGCAGCCAGCCTCATCTGCTGTCTCCATCACTTACCTGGGACCACATGCGGAAGGAGGCAGAGACACAGGCAGCTCAGGGACACCCAGGGGACCCTCCTCCAGCGTGCCCCCTTCATGGCTGCGGCAAAAGTCCCCCTGGCTCCCTGGGGAAGCTCCACGGCCCAGCAGCTGCAGTGTGAGGAGCAGACGTGAGCCCGTCCCCTCAGGCGGCTGGCCCGAACCAAGTGCGTTTCTCCGAAGGGGCCAGGGAACCTGGGAAGAGGACAAAAGAGGGCGGGGCCCCACGCTAATCACCCTTTTCTCTCCTCAGCCCCACCCCACTACCCCACCAGGAAAGAAAACACCGATACACCCGTTGCTCTGCTTCTCATCAGCCTGAGCTGAGTGGCGGGAGGGATGGGAGGAGACATGGGGGAATGGGAACAGGTCACACTGGAAATGGGTGGGCCACCCTCCTAGCCGGGTTCCTGGGTCCTCTCCTCCCTCCCCAGGGGCTGCCCCTGTCCCACCAGAGCTTTGGGCTGCTGGGAAGAATGGGGAAGAAAGGGCCCCAGAGGGAGCGACCTTGGGGCTGTATGAATGGGGGAAAGAGAGTGAGACTTAAGCAGACCCCAAGGAATTGGGAAGCGGGGAACCATGTGGGTGAGGGGCAGGAACAGAAATGCACTGTATGCCGTCTTTTGGAAAGGGGTGGTGTGCTTGGAATATCTGCTCAGTGCAGGCGCGTGGCAGACCCCAGACGCGTGGCAGACCCCAGACGCGTGGCAGACCCCAGACGCGTGGCAGAACCTCAGTGCAGATGCGTGGCAGACCCCAGACGCACGGCAGATCCCAGACACATGGCAGACCCCAGACCCATGGCAGACTCCAGACGCGTGGCAGACCCCAGACGCGTGGCAGACTCCAGACGCATGGCAGAACCTCAGTGCAGACTCGTGGCAGAACCTCAGTGCAGACGCATGGCAGACCCCAGATGCGTGGCAGACCCTCACCAGATGGTGGACTTCTTCTTTCCAGGGCAGGGAGCTGGAGCCAGGGTGCAGGGAGCCAGGGACAGTCTGGGAGACTGGCCTGAGGGAGCTGGCATGGGCAGTGGGTTGAAGGCAGAACCTCGGTAGGAGGAAGCGACTGTAACCTGTGAGGAGGTGGAGCTGCTCCTGGAGACCTGGGGGCTCTGCTCACCCCAGTTCCACCTCTTGGAACTCACAGGCACAAGCGAGGAGGGAAAGGGACCCCAAGTAGGGTTGTAAAGACGAAGAGGGCAGTTGGTGTAGCTCTCTGCAAAGGAAAACGGGGATACCTCCGCTCCCCTCTTTGCCACAGTGTGAATCTCTGCTTCTGATTCCTCAAGACTTGATTCCCGAATGTGGGGTGTCTGTGGGGTGACTCGTCCCAGAGCAGGGACCTTCGATGCTCAGACACTGTGGGGCCCAGGACAAGGACTCAGGGTTTCTGCATTCCCAAGCAGAGCCAGCCTTGTCCAGCAAGGAGTAGGCAACCGACGCTGTGGCGCTGTCTCCGAGGGTCACGGAGGCCCTGTGACCACTTGCTTCTAGAAGCTGAAAGTCTGTTCATGGCCCCAGGCCAAAGCCTGGGCCACGCCATAATAATGCGGATACCGTGGGGAAGTGGCGTGGTCCCCCAACAGTCCCTCCAGCTCTGGGTGGACGAGCTGACCCTGTTCTTTCCTGGAGGTAAGAAAATCATAAAGGTAAAGAGTCATGTGGAGCATCCTGTGGGCGCCTGGACGGGGCAGCAGGAGGGACCTACTGCAGGGAATTCGCAGACACCAAGGCCCAGCTTGGCCTTCGTGATCATTTTGCACTTTTTTTTTTTTTTGAGATGGAGTCTTGCTCTGTCGCCCAGGCTGGAGTGCAGTGGCACCATCTCAGCTCACTGCAAGCTCCGCCTCCCGGGTTCACGCCATTCCCCTGCCTCAGCCTCCCTAGTAGCTGGGACTACAGGCACCTGCCACCACGCCCGGCTAATTTTTTTTGTATTTTTAGTAGGGACGAGGTTTCACCATGTTGGCCAGGTTGGTCTCGAACCCCTGAACTCAGATGATCCGCCCGCCTTGGCCTCCCAAAGTGCTGGGATTACAGGCGTGAGCCACTGCACCCGGCCCGTGGTCATTTTTCTGTCAGCTCTTGCTCGTGGGTCCCCCCATTACCTTTCCACAGGTTTTGTTTGGTGACGCTTTCAGGACAACAGTTTTCCATCTCTAGAGGAGAAAGGAGCATCCAGGTGAGACCAAACTAAGCGCTGGACATCTTGTTGACCGAACACAGGTAGCTGACCTCTTTCCCATGCCAGGAAGGCCAGAGGCACACAGCGCTCTCCGGAAGCTGCTGTGACGGCCGAGACTCCAGGAGGGCGTTACAAACCTGGGCTTGATCCCAGCTCTGCCACCGCGTCACCACAAAGTCACAGCCTCTTCGAGCTGTTTTCCTCGTTCACCTGTAAAATGGGGATAACACCTATCTGAAAGGTTGTAGGGTGGGAGTGAGCCTGTAGATGCTGAGGGGCTGCGGGAGTATTAGGACACCTGTTGTGAGGACACCTGTTGTTACGACACCTGTTGTGAGGACACCTGTTGTGGAGGACACCTGTGGAGGAACGTGGCTCCTCCTTCCATCCGGGCATCATCCCTGGAGGGAGACACAAACGAGGGCCAGCCAGGATACAGGAGGAGTCCGGAAGTGAATTTCCAGGCCCAGGTCTTTCCTGCGTCCCCTTTGAGTCTTATAGGATCCTGATTAGGAGCGTGAGATCCTGGAGAACTGGGCGTGCGCACTCCTGTTCACCTCTTCCCTGCCCACGCCCGTTTCCCTTCTGCTTTCCAGCTCCCCTCAATATGCCCATTTTCCAGAGTTAGGATGTGTCTGGGTCTCTGTGATAAATGGCTCTGTCTTCATCTGGGTTGGGTCACGGGACACCCATTTGTCCTTCCTTCTCTCCTCCCAAGGCATCCGATGGGGACAGAATGGGGTGAATGAGAGGGGACAAAATGAGTGGCTTCTCTAGTTCCTTGTGGCCGAAAAACCTCCTAGGCCCGCATACTGCTGGGTCTGCATAGGGGCAGGAGTCTGAAGTCAGGTGTAAGTTAATATTCCACGGGAGGCAGGAAGAGCTTAGTGTGGATGTGGGGTGTAAGTAAATTGGAGCAAGGATAAGATCATGAGATTCTCCCAGACTTGGCTTGAAGAGACAGCTGGGTTTGAGGCAGCAAAGCCAGGATCTCCAAGAGAGATTCCCCTTCTAAGCTACCCAAGTAGGAGTCCCTAGTTTTTTGGGTCCCCTAAAATTGCTTACCTTTATATCATTTATGCCTCGTGCTGTGAATAAAGTTCAATCTTGTCAGACTTAGGACAACTAGGCTGATCTCGAGCAGGAAGCTGGATGTTTATTAAGTCTGATTTACCTACTCAGTCTGGACTAAAAAGGTGTGTGGATTCCCTAGTCAGTGACCCAGCATGAAGCCGGTCACTAGAGTGCCAGGCCCTGAGCCTGTCCCCATGGCCCTGTGAAGTACAAAGCGCTGCCCTACCTCTCAAGTGAGCACGCTGAGGCTCCAGGAGCTTCATCATCCCCGAGTCACCGGCCAGGTCGGGCCATCTAGGGAAACTGGAGAGTGTTAACTCCGCAGTTACAGCCTTCTGGGCCACACACTGTCCCAAAGCTGGAATTTGAGCTCTGTTCTGCCTGGCTCCAAAGCAAAAGAAGGGCAATCACCTGGGCTGACCGCCCACGACATCCTTCGCTCCGGGTCCTTTCCCGGTGGCAGGTGGAGACGGCCTTTTGGAGGGGCCTCGCTGTCCAGCTGCAAGGATAGTGGTTAGTGGACAGCTCCCAGCTGCTGGCCCCTGCAGGGTGGGCCTTGCTTTTATGCTGAGCTCATGCTCTTCTCCAGGTGACCCTGTGGCCGATGACTAAGCAAAGTGGCATCACAGTGACCTCACCATTTCCACCCCACAAGACTCCGCCAACAGGCAGTCTGCCCCTCAGAGCGCCCCATGGGCAGGAGCTTTGTGGCTGTGTCAGCTGTGCCACATCCTCCTGCCCAGCCCGGCCTCCTTCTTCTTACACAGGTGCCACATCCTCCTGCCCAGCCCGGCCTCCTTCTCCTTACGCAGGTGCCACATCCTCCTGCCCAGCCCGGCCTCCTTCTCCTTACGCAGGTGCCACATCCTCCTGCCCAGCCCGGCCTCCTTCTCCTTACGCAGGTGCCACATCCTCCTGCCCAGCCCGGCCTCCTTCTCCTTACGCAGGTGCCACATCCTCCTGCCCAGCCCGGCCTCCTTCTCCCTACGCAGGTGCCACATCCTCCTGCCCAGCCCGGCCTCCTTCTCCTTACGCAGGTGCCACATCCTCCTGCCCAGCCCGGCCTCCTTCTCCTTACGCAGGTGCCACATCCTCCTGCCCAGCCCGGCCTCCTTCTCCTTACGCAGGTGCCACATCCTCCTGCCCAGCCCGGCCTCCTTCTCCTTACGCAGGTGCCACATCCTCCTGCCCAGCCCGGCCTCCTTCTCCTTACGCAGGTGCCACATCCTCCTGCCCAGCCCGGCCTCCTTCTCCTTACACAGGTGCCACATCCTCCTGCCCAGCCCGGCCTCCTTTTCCTTACACAGGTGCCACATCCTCCTGCTCAGCCCGGCCTCCGCCCTTCTCCTTACGCAGATGCCACATCCTCCTGCCCGGCCCGGCCTCCTTCTCCTTACCAGGTGCCACATCCTCCGCCCAGCCTGGCCTCCGCCCTTCTCCTTACCAGGTGCCACATCCTCCTGCTCAGCCTGGCCTCCGCCCTTCTCCTTACAAGGTGCCACATCCTCCTGCTCAGCCTGGCCTCCGCCGTTCTCCTTACCAGGTGCCACATCCTCCTGCCCAGCCTGGCCTCCGCCCTTCTCCTTACGAGGTGCCACATCCTCCTGCCCAGCCTGGCCTCCGCCCTTCTCCTTACGAGGTGCCACATCCTCCTGCCCAGCCTGGCCTCCGCCCTTCTCCTTACCAGGTGCCACATCCTCCTGCTCAGCCTGGCCTCCGCCCTTCTCCTTACCAGGTGCCACATCCTCCTGCCCGGCCCGGCCTCCTTCTCCTTACGCAGGTGCCACATCCTCCTGCCCGGCCTCCTTCTCCTTACCAGGTGCCACATCCTCCTGCCCAGCCCGGCCTCCTTCTCCTTACCAGGTGCCACATCCTCCTGCCCAGCCCGGCCTCCTTCTCCTTACGCAGGTGCCACATCCTCCTGCCCGGCCCGGCCTCCTTCTCCTTACACAGATGCCACATCCTCCTGCCCGGCCCGGCCTCCTTCTCCTTACCAGGTGCCACATCCTTCTGCCCGGCCCGGCCTCCTTCTCCTTACCGGGTGCCACATCCTCCTGCCCGGCCTCCTTCTCCTTACCAGGTGCCACATCCTCCTGCCCGGCCCGGCCTCCTTCTCCTTATGCAGGTGCCACATCCTCCTGCCCGGCCTCCTTCTCCTTACCAGGTACCACATCCTCCTGCCCAGCCCGGCCTCCTTCTCCTTACCAGGTGCCACATCCTCCTGCCCAGCCCGGCCTCCTTCTCCTTACGCAGGTGCCACATCCTCCTGCCCGGCCTGGCCTCCTTCTCCTTACACAGATGCCACTTCCTCCTGCCCGGCCCGGCCTCCTTCTCCTTACAAGGTGCCACATCCTCCTGCCCAGCCCGGCCTCCTTCTCCTTACCAGGTGCCACATCCTCCTGCCCGGCCCAGCCTCCTTCTTCTTACCAGGTGCCACATCCTCCTGCCCGGCCCGGCCTCGTTCTCCTTACACAGGTGCCACATCCTCCTGCCCGGCCCGGCCTCCTTCTCCTTACCAGGTGCCACATCCTCCTGCCCAGCCCGGCCTCCTTCTCCTTAAGCAGGTGCCACTCCCCTATAGCCTTCACATTCCTTCCACCAACTCAGCATTTGCTTCTGGGAGGACCCGACCCGAGACACTCACGTAAAAGAGGATGCCCACGTACAGATGTGGCAGCAGGCCCTCCGAGCTGGGATTCAGACCCAGGTCAGCACGACTCCAAAATCTTTCCTCCTCTGCAGCTCCTTATTCCATGGTTCAGCAGGGAGGCGGGCGGGCTGGAGGCCCCGGCACCTGCTGTATGTGGTCTCTATCCGAGGCCATGGTGAAAGCAGGGAGGTGGGTGGGCTGGGGGCCCAGCACCTGCTGTATGTGGCCTCTATCTGAGGCCATGGCGAAAGCAGGGGCCCTGGTACTAGGGTCACACAAAGGCCACTGTCATTCTCTTGGGATTCGGTTTCTCCTTTCCCTAAAAGTGCCAAGCATTCTCACGCCAATTAGCTCATTTCCTGTCTCATCTCACCTCTGTGGTGGAGCAGGGCATGATTTTTACGCATGCAACGTCTTCTTACGGGCATCCCTGTGAAGCAGGGCCACCCCGGGGCACAGGAGGGCCTGGAGGTCCAGGGATCTAAACTCATTCCATTCACCCAGCCTTAAGGAGAAGAAAACCGAGGCCAGGAAGTCAGCAAGAACATGAAGTCGGTGACCCAGCATCCAGGTCCCCGGATTTGCCACCTGTGTCCTTTTGTGGGGCTTCCCTTTGTAAAGCTTGAAAGAATAAGAGGATCTTAACATAATTTTAAAACTGGAAGAGACCCTGGTGACCATGTCATCCGAAGCCCTCATTCTACCGTGGAGGAGGTGTGGGCCCAGAGAGAAGGGAGGTCCTTGTTGGCGCAGCCGGTGAGCGGCAGGGTGTGTCCCGGAGCCCGGGTTTCCAGCGCCCTCTCTGTCTTGCTGCCGAGCGTCCACGTCTGTTCGGTTGTCTTTGCACACTCCTGGCTCCCAGTTAGACCGCTGCTCCCAGGCGGAACGTCTGCCACAGGGGACACGTACATGCGGCCACCATGGGGACTGAATGAGGGTGGGCCCACAAAGCTCTCCAACGCGGGGTTCTGACAGAAAGCCCAACCCGGGCCGAAAGCCATCTTTTAAAATGAAGTTTACTGGGTTTCTTTTTTCATTATAAAGTAATGCACACTGTCCACAGAGATATGAAAATATTTAAAAGTAGAGAGAAGAAAAACATCATCAATGTTTCACCACCCAGGAACAACCCTATTAACGCGTTGAGAGATTTCTGGCTTGTTTCTCATACATAGCTCATATCCATAGTTTAAATCTATCATATCCTAGATATAGTTTGATCTCCTCTTTACCACCTAACTTTATTTATTTATTTATTTATTCATTTTTATTATTTATTTATTTATTTTGAGACAGAGTCTCGCTCTGTCACCCAGGCTGGAGTGCAGTGGTGCGATCTTGGCTCACTGCAACCTCCGCCTCCTGGGTTCACGCCATTCTCCTGCCTCAGCCTCCCGAGTAGCTGGGATTATAGGCTCGTGCCCCCATGCCTGGCTAATTTTTGTATTTTCAGTAGAGACGGGGTTTCACCATGTTGGTCAGGCTGGTCCCAAACTCCTGACCTTGTGATCCGCCCGCCTCAGCCTCCCAAAGTGCTGGGATTACAGGCGTGAGCCACTGCGCCGGGCCATGACCTAGCTTTAAACCTAAAAGTCTCCCCAATTATTATAAAACTCCATTCACACATTTCTGAAGGCCACGTGATACTGCATTGGCTGCCACCATAACTGAACTAACTTGGACACTGGGTTATTCACGGCGTCCCTGTTACAGGTAATGCCCGGATCAGAGGCTTTGTACCCAAAGTGCCTTCTGTGTTCAGGATCATTTCCTGAACCTGGAAGCAGAGCTGGTGTGTTCTGATCGGCGGCTCTGACCCTCCTTCTACAGTCAGAAGTCCATAAACATGAGCTTGCTCTGTCCAGGATGTCGGCACTTTTTTGGACACTTGTGATCAATTAACCCTTTTAATGTTGATGGTCTAATGGCGGAAGCAGAGCTGACAATGGGGCCGGGCGCTGTGGCTCACGCCTGTAATCCCAGCACTTTGGGAGGCCGAGGCGGGCAGATCACCTGAGGTCGGGAGTTCAAGACCAGCCTGACAAACATGGAGAAACCCCATCTCTACTAAAAATACAAACTTAGTAGAAATGTTGGTGGTGTGCACCTGTAGTCCCAGCTACCTGGGAGGCTGAGGGAGGAGAATCACTTGAACCTGGGAGGCGGAGGTTGCAGTGAGCTGAGATCACACCACTGCACTCCAGCCTGGGCAACAAGAGCGAAACTCCGTCTTGAAATAATAAAATAAAATAAATAGAATAATTACTCCGGAAGCCTAAAAATGATGGGTGGATTAAAGACTCTGCAGGTGGGTGGGGAAAAGGTGGAGAACCCCTTCCCATCCCAGCTCTTTCCTGGGTGAGCTCCCAGCTATGATCCAGGACCAACTGCCAGGCTTCTCATTTTGATACTGGACACTATGCTTAGCCCAGCGACTGTCCTGAAGAAAGTGATCCAGACAAAATTTGAACAGAGAAAGAAGGCAGTGAGATTAGCCCATCAGGCTGGAAAGTGAGACTTGTTCCTTGTTCCCCTTGCTCCCTGGGGAGAGGAGGCACCAGCTGAAGCTGGCCAGGGGACAGAAGAGGGGTCTGGTGAGCTCTGCTCCCCGGTGTGCAGGGGAGGCAGAATGCAGGCAGAGGAGCAGCCTGACAATGCGACGGACACATTACCACGTGGCCCTATGTGCCCTCACGGGGTCACGAGCTAGTGGAATCTAAACATGGAGAGAGGATCATTTAGCAACAGGGTCTGTGGCCCTGGGCATGACTGTGTGCCAGGCAACAGACAAGCCTCAGTGAGGGCCATCCAGGAAGGCCTCTGCCTTAGTGCTCACAAACTCGGTGGCTTCAAACAAACAGGAATTTATTCTTTCACAGTTTGGAACCCAGAAGTCCAAAATCAAGGCGTGGGCAGAACCACACTCCCTCCGGAGGTTCTGGGGTGGAGCCCTCCTGGCCTCTCTCCTGGTTTCCAGGGGTGGCTGGCCATTCTCCGCATTCCCGGGCTGGCAGCCGTGTCCCTCCAGCCTCTGCCTCCATCGTGTTGTGTGGCCATCTTCTCCCCTGTGCGTGTGTCTCTGTTTCCTCTTCTCATAAGGACACCAGTCACTGGATTAGGCTCTGCCTCAATTCGGCATGACCTCAGTTTAACTTAACTAATAACCTCTGCAAAGACCCTATTTCCAAATAAGGTCACATTCTGAGTGACATGAATTTTGGGGGACACGTACTCACCCCAGTACAACCTCCTTGAAGAAAATTTGGGGCAGGGTAGGTGTATGGGTCATGACAATAGATGATTCTTGCCGAATGATGACCTATTTGGGAAGACCAGCAGGTGTGCCCACATCACCCTGGGCTGGCTCTGGAAATCCCCCAAATCTCGGCTCTTGTCACCACTGAGTCAGGAGCCAGGCGGCATGACCAAGGGACCAGCTTGACTATTCCTCGATCTAACTTCTTGGATCATGAGGCCAGGCAGATGGCAGCCCCAGGAGCCCTCAGCTGTAGCTCATCAGGCCCGTGCTGAGACCACCCCCTCCCCTGCCCAGGAGGGCAGAAAAGCAGGGCCCAGGCAGCAGTGGCCACACCTGCCTCAGTGGTTTCAGCCCTGCTCTCTCAAAGGTTGACCTGCTATTGACTGGAAGGTATCACATTCCCTTGTTTCCTTCTGTAACCAGAGAAGAAGGTAAGGGGTAAGGGTGGGAGAGGGGAGAGAGACAGGACAGTATATCTAAAAATAAACGTACCCCACCTCAACCTCAAGCATTGCACAGAAAGGTGTGTCCGCCTGCTCTTCACCCGCCTGTGACCCCCGCATTCCCTCCAGGTGAGCAGGAGCCCGACCTAGACACTCTCTTTAGCCTACACATGCCAGACTCTCCCTTTAGAGGAAAAAGGGACTTCTCACCAAGCCACACCCCTTGAAACTGCTTCCTCGGGTGCACCTGGAGTGTTCTCACTCCTCGGCCCCAGTTCCCACTCACACTTCCTGGAGCTGGAGGAGGGGGCAAGAGGGTGATGCGTCATAAGCCTGCATGGACATTGTCACTGAAATGAAAGCTCAGCTTCCAGGGTCCGGAGACGGCTTTGGCCCCAAGGTGCCAGGGACAGCATAAGCTGCCGGGACCTGGCGAGGCCCAGGGGGCGAGCCTTCGGGCAACATCTAGCCTGGCACTCCTGGTTTCGTGCTGGAGGAGCAGGGTGAGAGAGGGGCTACTGTTGAGCTGTAGGAGGCAGAGTGGGTGCTGGGGGAAAGAGCAGGAGCTTTGGAGTCACTGTGGGCAAGCCACTTCCTAGCTGAGCCTCAGTCTCCATGTCTGCACAGTGGGGAGAGTAGACGTAATTCCTATTAGCTTAGTACGTCGTAGATTCTCAGCAAATGTTAGCGTCCCCACGCCACCGCCCCCCAGATGTGGGCATGGAAAGAGAAACAAACTATTTGGAAGGAGAGTCTGGGGTTGTTCTGGGTGGAGGGCCAGGTCATAGACATGATGTGGTGGCAATGCCTGATTCTGGCTGAGGGAATCATTCTGGAATGGTGAGGGGGTGGATCTGGCCACAGGGCTCAGGAGACTATTGTCGTCTCAGGGGTCCTCACAAAGTGGCTGGGCCAGGTGAGCTGGTGTTTCTTATATGCGGGTAAAGGTGTTGCTCGTATGCAGGTAAAGGTGTTTCTCGTATGCGGGTAAAGGTGTTTCTCGTATGCGGGTAAAGGTGTTTCTCGTATGCGGGTAAAGGTGTTTCTCGTATGCGGGTAAAGTGTTTCTCATGCAGGTAAAGGTGTTTCTCATATGTGGGTAAAGGTGTTTCTGATATGCAGGTGAAGGTGTTTCTCATATGCGGGTAAAGGTGATTCTCACATGCGGGTAAAAGGTGTTTCATGCAGCAGTTGGCAAGTTGGTAACTTCTTCAAGCCCTGTGATTTCGAGATGGGGAGAGAAGTCTGTGAGAATGCAGTTTTGAGAAGCAGAAGCAATGAGGTCGCATCAGCCTACTGCCGAGCATAACACACAAGGGCAAAGAAGACGGGGGTCTGGGATTGGAGGGCTTCTTAAAATTCTGACACTAGACCAACTTTCCAAGTTGTTAAAGCCTGCAGACCCCAGATGTAATCTGTCAGTGTGAGAGGAGTTAAATGTCAGCTCCAATATCTACATTATAATAATTGATACATATTACCTAATAATCAATATATTGTGATGTTATATCATAGCATTTATTACATACAACACAGTTACTATTATATTAGCTTCATCTACATGTGAGATCTGCTTTTTAAAAAACTTACTTTATTTTTTATAGAGATAGGGTCTTACTTTGTTGCCCAGGCTGGTCTTTTTTTTTTTTTTTTTTTTTTTTGAGACAGAGTCTCACTCTGTTGCCCAGGCTGGAGTGCATGATCTCTCTGCCTCCCGGATTCAAGCGATTCTCCTGCCTCACCCTCCTGAGTAGCTGGGATTACAGGCGTGCGCCACCACGCCCAGGTAATTTTTGTATTTTTAGTAGAAACGGGGTTTCACCATGCTGGCCAGGCTGGTCTCAAGCCCCTGACCTCAAGTGATCCACCCGCCTCGGCCTCCCAAAATGCTGGGATTACAGGCATGAGCCACCACGCCTGGCCAAGATTCACTTAAAAAAAAAAAACTGCTTTAAAAACATTCATAAGCCGTTATTGCCTGGAGAGTCTTTGAATGTGTCACACCCTTTAACACGCAGGAGCAGCCAATCCCCAAAGCCCTGGTCACGTGATGACAATTAGGCCACCTACCCTCCGTTATTCTGGCCCCTCTGCCAAGAGGCAGGCCCTCACCCAACTGACCCTACCAGCGCAGGGGCCTGAGTGCGGCTCTCCAAAGAAACTTGATGTTGGCATTCAGCCACAAGCCCGGCTCTCAGAGGAACCTGGTGTGGGAAAGACGCCCCACCTCCAGCCCCTGTGCCGTCAGAGTCAAGATCACTGTACTTTGCATAAAGTATTAGGAAAAAACCCAAATTCTTGCTCTTTGATTAGAGCCTCTCCTTCTTTCCCCACCAGCCCTCTGCAGAAGCAAGAGGCAAAACTAAAACTCAGGTGTTTTTATCCGTGAGTCTGTGTTTCTGTGTAAGTGATCTATGCATTTAAAAACCAATAACTTACTTTATCCTTCTCAGGACCTGAAGTATGGTCTTTCATCAGATGCCTACAGAGGGTAGGAAGGCCAGGAAGAGGTGGGGAGGGCAGGAGGGGAGCGCTGAACAAATGTAGAGGTTGGATCCAGGCGTGCGGATCAGACCTTGAACTAAGGAGCCATGGAGAGCACAGAGCCCCCAGGGACACGGGAAGACGGTTGTCCTGGGTAGATGGCAGCTCCAGAAGCCCCCAGCTGTGCCTCATCAGGCCCATGCTGAGACTACGGTCTCCTCTGCCCAGGAGGGCCACAGACAAGTGGAGAAAGCAGAAAAGCAGGGCCTGGGTGGCGCTGGCCTCACCTGCCTCCATGAGGCGGACAGGAGCCTCGCAGCCGTGGACGCAGCCCAGGCCAAGCCATGCAGGGAGTAGTAACAAGAATAAATGAAGCCGTGAAGCCAGGGCCCCTTTGGCGCTTGTGCAACCGCCAACCTGCGTAGTTCTGTGAGCACTGGGACACGTGTTGGTGCTGACTCATCAAAATCCCGGGACTGTGTGGTTTTGGACACTGCTGGAGTCCAGGTGCCCTGTGTGGTTTTGGGCACTGCTGGAGTCCAGGTGCCCTGTGTGGTTTTGGGCACTGCTGGAGTCCAGGTGCCCTGTGTGGTTTTGGGCACTGCTGGAGTCCAGGTGCCCTGTGTGGTTTTGGGCACTGCTGGAGTCCAGGTGCCCTGTGTGGTTTTGGGCACTGCTGGAGTCCAGGTGCCCTGTGTGGTTTTGGGCACTGCTGGAGTCCAGGTGCCCTGTGTGGTTTTGGGCACTGCTGGAGTCCAGGTGCCCTGTGTGGTTTTGGGCACTGCTGGAGTCCAGGTGCCCTGTGTGGTTTTGGGCACTGCTGGAGTCCAGGTGCCCTGTGTGGTTTTGGGCACTGCTGGAGTCCAGGTGCCCTGTGTGGTTTTGGGCACTGCTGGAGTCCAGGTGCCCTGTGTGGTTTTGGGCACTGCTGGAGTCCAGGTGCCCTGTGTGGTTTTGGGCACTGCTGGAGTCCAGGTGCCCTGTGTGGTTTTGGACACTGCTGGAGTCCAGGTGCCCTGTGTGGTTTTGGGCACTGCTGGAGTCCAGGTGCCCTGTGTGGTTTTGGGCACTGCTGGAGTCCAAGTGCCGCTGGGGCTGCCTCGGGGAGGAGGAAAGTTTCCAGAAGAGCTTACGGAAGAGCCTGCGGCTTGGGAGCAGCATCCCCCAGCTCGCGTGCTGGGTGGGAAGTGCCGAGGGGCTGTGCAGAGGGCTCTCGTGTTTGGGGATTTTCTCGGGACGGCTGTTTTCTACTTGAAATGGGGGTCCTGGAGTTCATGGGGAATGAGAGAGGTGAGCGGGAGCCAGAACGGGAAAGTCCTTGTCCGGGGGCTTCCGCAGGAGCCCCCTTGGCCCCTGGCCAGACACTTCCAGCTTCCCTCTGGCCCCAGAGATTCCCCTCGGGGTCAGGCCCTGCCTACCTGCCTCGGCCTCGCGGTCGCCTTCCTGCCCCTCAGGAAGCCCTGCCAAGGTCCCCTGAAGGCCCGCATGCTTGCCCGGAGGAGGCCGCTCCTCATGTTGCCCCAGGGACTGCCCCCAAGGCTTCCTTCTTCAGGGAAGAGGCGGCTCTTGGCCAGGGAGTTGTTGGGGCTGTTTCCAACCCAGGCAAACCTTCGCTTCCTCTCCTGCCCTCCTGCCCCGGGTTTTTCCCCAGACAGACCTACGGGTGCCAGTGCCAGTACGGGTGCCAGTGCCCCAGCCTCGCCTCCCCTGCAGCTCCCTCCTGGGCCAGGCCGAACACCATCGTTTCACAGTCCACTTACTGAGCTGAGAAGACCTCCTCGTATGAAGATCTGGGAAGGCCTGAGCTTTCACCGGCCTGCAAGCTCACGGGCGAGCCTGCCATGGTTGAAGGACGCTGGCAGAAGACCAGAGACCCTGGCCCAGGGCAGAGGACTCTGTCACTCACGGCACGGCACGTTGCTCAGTGTGAACGAGCTTCCTCTTCACTCCCGTTTCCTTTGCTCCCCAAACCCCACGGGGGCTACGCAGAGGCCCAGGTGGATTCTGTGGCACAGCTGGGTTTGCCTCACCGCCGGGGATCCCCGTGCTTAGGAAACGCCGGACTGTCATGAGGGGCTGCGAAGCAAACCTGCCCAACCTTTCCCGGGGGTGGACGTCGTCTTTGTTACACTGGACAGCGAGCAAATCTCGCTTCTGCCCCAGAGGGAGACGCTGTCCCTGCGCGCCGAGACTTTCACTATATACACGTCCTTGACGAGAGTCCAGAGCAAAAGGCCGTCGGCGCATCTGCTCCTGAGACTTGCAGAAACGTGGGGAACCAGTGAAAAATTGTCTCCGACATCCGAGACCCAGAGGAAGCCCAGGCCAACGGGCGCAGGGTGCTGGCTTTTCCGCTGCCTTAGGTTTCACCGCGGGTGCCGTCTAGCCCCGTCCCCCACGTCTCCGTGGCCAGCACAGGGCCCGAAATGAGACCGCTCATAAATAACTGAAAAAATCACACTTACCTCAGATTGTACCCTACTATGTCAATCATGTTGGAACAAATTAGCGTTTCTGAAACAAGAGTTATGGCAGAAGTGACTGCGATGTTCCGATGTTTCTAGGTGTTGGCACGGATACTGTTCGGTCCCAACCCCAGGAGGTAGTTACTGGGAGCCATTCTGAGGAGGGAGTGCTGAGGACTCCCCTCAACAAGGGGCTGTGGCCAAGGAAAGGGGCCCTGAGAGACCTCACACAGAGCCCCCCAGTCGCATACGGCACGGCTGAACTCTCCTGGCTTCCCAGAGAATCCAGAAGGAAAGGGCGGCCTCCCGCAGCCCCCGCCAGCCAGCTCAGGGGCAGACGGCCTAGTGGGGCCCTTGCCCAGCCACCCGCCTATCTATTGGCTAAAAAAATGTAAAAACAAAAATCACTCTTCCCATACTACTCTTTTTCTCCTTCCCTCTTTTTAAAATCCTGTTTTTGCTTTTGTTCATTGACAGCAGCCTAAAAAGTGTTCTTCCTCATATATGGGAGTTAATTCTTTTTGTTTTTTTGAGACGGAGTCTCACTCTTGTCACTGAGGCTGGAGTGCAGTGGTGTGATCTCAGCTCACTGCAACCTCCACCTCCCAGGTTCAAGCGATTCTCCTGCCTCAGCCTCCTGAGTAGCTGGGATTACAGGCGTGTGCCACCACCCCCAGCTAATTTTTTGTATTTTTTGTAGAGACGGGGTTTCACCACGTTGGCCAGGATGGTCTTGAACTCCTGATCTCAAGGCTCACTGCAACTTCTGCCTCCCGGGTTCAAGGGATTCTCCTGCCTCAGCCTTCTGAGTAGCTGGGAGTACAGGCCTGTGCCACCACGCCAGGCCAATTTTTGTATTTTCAGTAGAGACGGGGTTTCACCATGTTGGCCAGGATGGTCTCAATCTCTTGACCTCATGATCCTCCCACCTCGGCCTCCCAAAATGCTGGGATTACAGCGTGAGTCACTGTGCCCAGCCTAATTTTTGTATTTCTGGTAGAGATGGGGTTTCACCGTCTGGTCTGGTCTGAAACTCCTGACCTCAAGTGATCCACCGGCATTGGCCTCCCACAATGCTGGGATTACAGGCGTGAGCCACCGTGCCCGGCCTGACGCGGTGAAAGTCTGAAGATTCTACATCTACTCCTTCAAATTTACTTCTAGGAATT